>NC_000018.10:11210199-11510249 GCF_000001405.40 Homo sapiens | reverse complement strand
TTTTGGGAGGGATATGGCTTCTTTCACTCAGCATAATTATTTTGAGTTTCAACCCTCTCATTGAGTGTTTCAATAATAGTTTATTCTTTTTTATTGCTGAGTAGAATTTCATTATCTATTAACCTTTTGATGGACATGTAGATTGTTCCTAGTTTTCAGCTGTTCTAAACAAAGCTGCTATGAATATTTGCGTACATGTCTTTGTGTGGACATGTGCTTTGTTTGTCCTGGATGAAGCCTAGGAATGAAACGATTGTGTGATACAGTAGCTACGAGTTTAACACTTCTAAGAAATTGCCAAGCTCTTTTCTTTTATTTCTTTTTTGAGACAGGTCTCACTCTGTTGTCCAGGCTGGAGTGCAGTGGTGAAATCTTGGCTCACTGTAGCCTCAACCTCCCAGGCTCCATCTATCCTCCCACCTCAGCCTCCAGAGTAGCTTGGCCTACAGGCATGTGCCAACATGCCTGGCTAATTAAAATTTTTCTTTTTTTTTTTTTTGTAGAGACAGGGTCTCACTATGTTGCCCAGATTGGTCTCAAACTCTTGGGCTCCAGTGATCCTCCCACCTCGGCCTCCAAAGTGCTGGGATTATAGGTATGAGTCACTGTGCCCAGCCTCCAAAATCTCTTCTAAAGTGGCTATAATATTGCTGATTCCCACCAGCAGTCCATGAAGTCTCAATTGCTGTAAATCCTCATTAATGCTTGAGGTGATTAGTCTTTTTAATTTTAGACATTTTCAAATGTATGTAGTGGGATCTTATCGAGGTTTTAATTTGCATTTCCCTAATGAATATTGATATTGAATATCTTTTCATGTGCTTGTTTGCCTTCTTATATATTTTTTTGATGATCTCTCTATTAAGATCTTTTGCCATGTTTAAACACTAGGGTTGTTTTCCCTTGCAGAGTTTTGAGAGTTCTTTAAATGTTCTGAATACCTTTAGTACGTCTTTTATCAGAAAAGTAATTTGCAAATAATTTCTCCTAGTCTATGGCTTATCTTTTCATTCCCTTAGAAGTGTCTTTTGAGAGTTCTTAAGTTTGACAAAATCCAATTGACTATATTTCTAAGGCTTTTGTTGTTGGTAAGAAATTGTTGTCTAGCCCTCAGATTACAGATTTTCCCTTATGTTTTTTTCTGAAAGTTTTATAGTTTAATGTTTTGCATTTATCATCTTTTTTGACTAATTTTTGTGTATGGTGTGAATTATGAATTACGACTCTAAAATTCATAATAGTGTCCAATTGTTTCAGCATCATTTGTTGAAGACACCATTCTTTCTCCATTGACTTGATTTTGTAACTTTGTGGAAAATAAATTGGCCCAGCACAAATGGGTTTATTCTGTGACTCTGTTCTGTTCTGTTTGTCTTTATGTCTATCAGTTCACGAATGCAAGACTCTCTTGGTTATTGTAGCTTTGTAATAATCTTGATATCAGGTAATGTAAGTCCTCTCACTATATTCTTTTTCAAAGTTATTGTTGGAATTAGGTACTCTAAGTTGTTTGCATTCCACGTGAATTTTTGAGTCATCTTGTTAATTTCTACAGAAATCCCTGCTTATTGATACTGAGTCTTTTGATCTATGAAGATGGTATATGCCTCCACTTATGTAGGTCTTCTTTAATTTTCTGTCAGCAATATTTTCTAGTTTTCAGTGTATAAGTATTTTACATTTTTCTCAGATTTATTTCAAAGTAACTTTTGTTTTCTGATTCTGTTGTAAATGGGATTTCTTAAAAAGTTTAAATTTCTCATTGTTAGTTAACATGTAGAAATACAATTGACTTTATATATCTTATATTCAGCAACATTGCTAAGCTCCCCTATTTGTTCTCATGACTTTTATTTTTTTGAGATTCCATGGGATTTTTTAAATAGACAATCATGTTTTCTGTGAATAAAGAATGTTTCTCCTTTTCAATCTAGACACATTTTATTTCTTTGTCTTGCTTTATTGTACAGGGTAGAAATTCTAGTACAAAGTTGGATATGAGTGGTGAGAATGGGTATCTTTGCCTTATTCCTGATCTTACTGGGAAGCCATACAGTCTTTCACCATAAACTGACATTCTTATTACGTTTATGAATTACGTTGGATATAGGTTTTTAAAATAAATACCCTTTATCAGGTTAAGAAAGTTTTCTTTTATTTCTAATTTATGAGAGTTTTATCAATAACACTTTGTATTTTTTCAAAAATTTTTTCTAAATCTATAGACATAATTGTTTTTTTCTATGAATTATTACCTTATTTTGTTATAATATAATGAATTATATTGATAGATTTTTAATGTTAAAACAGTCTTGCATTCTTGAAATAAACCATACTTGGTCATGACGTATTTATGTATTTTTGGACTTGATTTGCTGAAATTTTGTTTATAATTTTAAATCTATACTCATCTGAAATACTGGTCTGTATTTTCTTTATAAGGTCTTTGTCTAGTTTTGTTATCAAATTAATGCTGGCCTCATAGAATGAGTTAGGAAGTATCCCTCCCTCTTTAATTTTATTGAAAAATTTGTGTGCAGTTGGTATTATTTCTTCCTTAAATATTTGGTAGCCTTTGGCCAGGCACGGTGGCTCACACCTGTAATCCCAGCACTTTGGGAGGCCGAGGCAGGCGGATCACAAGGTCAGGAGATTGAGACCATCCTGGCTAACACGGTGAAACCCTGTCTCTACTAAAAATACAAAAAATTAGGCAGGCGTGGTGGCGGGCACCTATAGTCCCAGCTACTTGGGAGGCTGAGGCAGGAGAATGGCGTGAACCCGGGAGGTGGAGCTTGCAGTGAGCCAAGATCGCGCCACTGCACTCCAGCCTGGGTGACAGAGCGAGACTCTATCTCAGAAAAAAAAAAAAATTTGGTAGCCTTTGTGTGTGTGAAGGGTTTGAACTATAATTCCTGCTTTCAAATAGATACAGGACTATACAAGGTTACTTATTTTTCTTTAGTGAATTTTGGTAGTTCTCATTTCTTAACAGATTTGGCCATTTCATCCAAGTTATCACATTCATTATTATTTATTGTTTGGAGACAAACCTGATTCTAACTGATACAAAATTTGATTTCTGGCATTGTAAATGGCTCGTCACTACTTTTAGCACCAAGTTGACTATGAGATATGAACAGTACACTGGGCATGATAAGGAATGGATGAGTCAGTCCTACAATAACATTTTAAAGTAAAAGACGACTCAAGGGAACTTGATATAGTTATCCAAGTAGTGCATAACTAGTTAGACCAAAGCGAGAGCCAGTTCGAGAAGATTGGTTTTATTTGTTGTTGCTGCTTTATTTTGTCATTTTGCCTCTAAGCTGTTTCTAGATATCTCAGAAGCTCCGCCTCCTGGACTGTGTGTAACGTGTCTTGTACAGTGGGTAAGCAGTTAACCTGGAGGCAGAAGTTCCTCATGTTTGTAGGTTTGAGGTCTGTATCATAACATTGTAGGGAGATGACCTTTTATCACAGCACAGACATTCTGTGAAAATAGGACATTGTAATTTTAAAAATGGGTCTTCCCCCGGAAAGGGAAAGACAAAGCTTTCCCCAGTCTCCCCTTTTGCAAGCCTGGGTTGTCCACTCAAGCCGACGGGCTCACCTAACAGTTCCAGGTTCACACAGAGTCAGGTGGTGGTTGGATGAGGGGGGTCTGTCCTCATGCTCAAGGCTTCCTTCTAAAGGCTCCTCTACATTTGAAAAGTTCCTGTAACAGTATTTAATGTCACTGAAATTACTGTTAGTTCGGCTGGAAAATTCTGGGGAAAAATATACCATGGGAAAAGAAGGGTTAAGTCATTGAGCCCCTGCACTAGCTGGGTTGGAGCCCCTAAGGATTCTGGAAACACTCATTTAAGAACTGACTTGATGTGATTCATTGCAGGTGAACAGATACGTCATCATTTATTTTAATGTAGAAAATAGTATTAATGAGTCTGAAGCCCCTGACGCAGCTGGGACTAGAGTGTGCCCTGCTTCTGGCAAGACATGGTGGTTGCATGGGCACAGGGTGGCCAGCACCCCTCCTCAGGTGCGCTTTTTTGTGGTTCTGAAGTCAGCTATGCAGGAGGGATCTCTTACCAGTCTACACGATCTTCCTGATAGCATCACCTCCCCCTCCCTAGGGAGCATCTACATCTTGGCCAAACATTATGAACTTAATATTTAATGTTAAAAGAGAAACTGTTTAGAAAGTCTAGAAACCTCTCATGTGCCTCGTGGCAATTATAAGATCCCTGGGCCCCCCTTAAACAAAGAGCTTTGTTCTTTTAAAGCAATTACCAGAAGTAAAAAAGCAATAATGCCAGTAAAACCTTTAAAGGCACATGTGCAGGAAGACAATTGGAGTTCAGGCTGTCTGTGGGTAGCTGGTGATCTAGCCATGGCACAGGAAGATGCTGTCTTCTGGAGGGTGAAATCTTAGTGTCCCTACAGCCATTGCTCCTGCAAACCCCATCTGTGGTTGGTGGAGACATTAGCATTTAGTTGACACTTTTAACCTTGGTTGAATGGAAGGTATTACATTACTATGGAGCATCCTCACATCTTGACGTATTGTCTACTAGGTTGCCAGCATCTTCAGCAGCAAGCTATAGTTAGGTTAGTCAAGTGATTCAGTCAGCAAAAATGGTGAGGTCGCCAGGCACCATGGCTCACACCTGTAATCCCAGCACTTTGGGAGGCCAAGGTAAGAGAATGACTTGAGGCTAGGAGCTCAAGACCAGCCTAAGCAACATAGGGAGACCCCGTATCTGCAAAAAATAAAAAAATTAGCTGGGTATGATGGCGCACACCTGTAGTCCCAGCTACTCAGGAGGCTGAGGTGCCAGGATCCTTTCAGCCCAGGAGTTTGAGGCTGCAGTGAGCTGTGACTGCACTACTGCACTCCAGCCTGGGCAACAGAGTGAGATCTGTCTAAAAAAGAAAAAAAACGTGGTGAAGCATTAGGAAAGAATTTTGCTTGTGAGTTGCCCTTTGGTGGTTGGAAGGAAGCTCGTGTCCTGGCTTCCATACTTGCAGCATCTGCCCCATGCTGCCTTCTTAGCCCCACCTGCACCCATCCGAAGCTCTGTCCATGGTGCCACCCCTCCCGCCTTTGGTGCATGTCCTTCAGCCTGGAGTGATTTCTCAATGTGGCCGCCACCTTCACTGCATGCGAGCTCCTTGTCTCCAGAGCCTACCTGCAGCTTTGACTTTCTCTTTCTGGAGAAACCCCTCCCCAGGATCTGGTTTTCTCTGGCAGGCACTGTCCTCACTGCAGAAAGCTTGCCCTTCCTCCTTTCCATGCTTCATGCTAACTTCAAATCCTTGTCTTCAAAGTTCTTTTTTCTCCCCATTTTCCTCACTCTCACACCTGTCCCAATGTTTTCGATGTCAAATGGGCTACATTTGTAGTCTTGGTCAAGAATTCCTGTTGAATAAGAGCGGGATGTCTCTCTTTCTCTCTGTGTTTTTATTGAGATGATCAGATTTATGTATGTGTATGTGGGAGCTGTTTTAAAAACTTAAAATTATGCAAGACCTCTGTAAACTTATTTTCATTCATCTGAATACATGATTTACTTACCTTAGTTAAAAATGACAGAAGGCCCTACTTATATTTCTACAGTTTGTTTTCAGACAACATGACATTTAAAGATCTTTTCATGTTAGTACATGTAGATTATCCTAATTCTTTTCAACCTTTGCATGTAATGCTATGCTATGAATTCACTGTTGTATAGAAACATTTCCCTACTGATATTGGGACTAAAGAGTACATTCCTATAAAATATTTTAATCATTTAAAAACACTTCTGTGTTTCTGTGCTTTCTGTAGAAAGTAAAAATGTTATGTTTTAAGAATTCCACCATTGAAGGGTATTAGTCACATGAAGATAAAGAGTAACTTCGTTTTGTAAAATAATCAGTTCCAGTTTCCTGTGTTTAAATATATACATGTATTTAGTTTGATACATATATATTTAATTTGTATGTATCATATAGATTTATGACTTGGGGGTATAGTGCAGATGTGTTACATGGATATATTGTGTAGTAGTGAAGTCTGGGTGTTTAGTGCACCTGTTGCTTGAATAGTGAACATTGTACCCTATAGGTAATTTTTCAACCCTCACCCCCATCTCACCAGTGTCTATTATTGCACTCTATAAGTCCCTGTGTACAATGGAACAAAAACTCTGTAACAAGTGCTATGCCTGGCATTGCAGACACACAGAGATGAATAGGGCTGTACCCTGAGGAGCCTCAGACAACCTAGACCACTGGTAATACAAGGCAAGGGAAGAAGTAGTATTGTCTTCTAAAATAGGAACAGCTGGTTTTGACTTGGGACCAGGCATAAGGGGACAGACCTGGGTCTGGGGAACAGGCTGTGGGTAGGGTGTTCCTGGGAGTTGGGAAATCAGCCTCAGATCTGCAAGAAGGAGCTTCTCTTCATCCTTAGGCGGTGGGTGTCTTCAAATGAGAGGACCCGGGAGCAGCAGGTTCTTGGACCACTGAAGGCTGTGACAAAGGTTAATAAACACCCTCTGCCCCCAATCCCACCTCGAGATAACAGCCATGTATGTGCTCTTCAGCACCTTCTGGCTCAGAGGTCATTTAAAAATTTTTTTTACAAGAATGTAATATGTAATATGTATATGTATATTTGGTGTGTGTGTTTATCTTTATATATACTGGTACTCTTGTTTTCACTGGACCGATTTATAAGAATGAACTGAAGTTTATATATATATATTTTTTTTTTGCTGCAGATCATATTCCAGCCAATAGCTTAAGAGCACAAATTGTGGTCTCCTGACAGTAACTGTGCATGCTGTATGGTTTTTAACATCGTTTTAATCAGTAACTATTCATTTTCTTATTCCGCTTTTTCTCATTTCACATTATCTTATGCATCCTTCTTTACATAGCTTCCTAACCTCCATATTTACCACTTTTTAATAACTTTCTATCCTTTCTTTGATAGAAAGGCTCAGTACAGGCTGACAGTTCCTCAGCTGTTGGGTTTAACTGGTGAGGAGGGGAAGGGCCCTTGGGAAAGAAGTCTCACTTATTGATCTTTCTCTTCACACCTGTGCACAGGTGCAATGGCTGGATTTACTGAAATGATAGAGAAAAAAACCCACCATGGTACTGTTTAACACAAAGTACTTAAGCATACTCTAGGTTCTTTGAGCAGGAGATCCTGAAACATTTGGGGTATATTTTACTAACAGAAAAAAGTACAAGTCTTCCAATATGTAAACACAATTGAATTTACTATAAATTAGAGAAAAGATTAGTGAATTCTTATTTCTTATTTTCCAATTATCCCATCTACAGCACTTTGAGGCTGCTTGCTGTTCTGACATCTTCCATAGTGTTTCATGGTCTTGAAATTTTATAAGAATTTAGAAAAAGACTAATTACTTAGCTACTGAGGGCTTCAAAGAGCTTGGTTCAAATTGAATATCTGGCTTACAATATGGAATCACCCTATTGCTTTTTCCTTCTATTGTCAGATCACTTGGTCATTTTGAAAAAGCTGCATACAGTGATACTAGAAAAAAATTATTTGCTTGGTAGCTTTTGTTAGCTTCTTAGAACATCTGTTATCAAGCTAAGTTCATCATTCCTGGAGAGCAACTAAAGCCCTAACCAAATGTGACTTCACTGCCCATGTCATGGAAGACGATGGAGTTGGATTGGAATGTTGAGTGTTTGCCTTTGGTTTCTGAGGTCTGCTCTCCAAAACAACATGGTGAAAATTGAGTTGTACACTTTACTTTTCCAGAAAGCACTGGGTATATATGATACCCAATTGGTTTAAGAACCTCAGATTTCAGGAGGCAGCTCAGTTATCTCCCTGTAATAACAGCCAATTCCACAAACCAGTTGTTTGATATGTGGGGCTTGCAGGCCCCCTGGTTTGGGGATGGAAACAAAAACACCAAATTGGAGTTGGCCTGAAACACAGCTACCCCTGAACACTCAGCTGTCTCTGGTCACACGGGCTTGGCTTTGGAGACTGGGTTATAGCCTAGAGAGGACACGAGTCAAGTCCTTGATGCTACACGATGGAAGGACATAAGGGCCTGGTCGTGGCAGGTCCATGGGACTCTAAAAATGAAGAGCAACATCATGGAAAATATTGTGACTTAAGAGAGCATCTAAGAGGCAAAAAAAAGTGATTTTTTTCCCAAAGCAATGTAGACGAGGTGTTACTTAGGAAGGTGTTAAATTGAAGTAACACTTGGCCCATTTGAAAAATCACAGGAATACCAATACAAAATGGGAAGGGACTGAAGAATTTGCTTCCTGATGAGGCAACATTAACTTTGGAATTAGGTACATCTGGCTGCACTAATAGTGGTTTTCCAACTCACTGGCAGTGTTTATCAAAATGCAGATTCCTAGGTTCTTGCCCAGATCTAGTGAATCATGATCTCTTGAGGAGGTTCCCAGGTATCCTAATCTTTAGTGAGCTCTCCAGGTGATTTTAAAACACAGCTAAAGCTTTTAAGAGCTTACGATGTGCCAGGCACTGTTTCGACTGCTTGCTATGCATGATCTCACTTAGAATGTAAAATGATGGTACGAGCTCAGTATTATCATCTGTGTTTCATAGCCAAGGAAGCCAAGGCTTAGAGTAGCCATTGGACTTGCCTGCAGTCACACAGTGGATGATGGAGCAGGGATGTAAACACATGCAGCATGTCTTTAGAGTCCACACTCCTAAGCACCATGGTGCCTGCTCAGCTTTTTATGCTCTTTGTACTCTGGGAACCACTAAACAAATTAATTAACTTCTCTGGCTGTCAATTTCCTCATTGGTAAAACGGATACAAACAAATTTAAAAGTGTAAAGCCTGTAATGGTAAATCTTGATAATGAAGAGAAGTCCAGCAGCTCTACTTTCTTAGGCTATGAAGAACATCTTTGTGATGCAATGTTCTATATTTGTGGTTTGCATTTATGGACAAACTTCAAATATGGGAATGATAGTAATAATGAAGAATTTTTTTTAGTATAGTATGCTTTCTTAGATGTCCCCTGTGCTGAGCAATTTCACTGTGGCTAAATCTGGATCCCTTCTAATCTTTGAAAATTTCCGTTTTCTTTATTTGATTTTTCTACGTTTAAAAACTTTTAGCCTGATAAAGAAAAGATGCCCTCTTCTTGGGGTCAAATATTTAAAGGCCAACCAGTTTAAACACAACTATCTGTATAAGCAATAGTAAATACACCATCCCTTTGTCTATAGTGAAGAACTTTTGACCGGTGACCTGCTCACCTTTAGAAAATACATGAAAGCCTCCAGGCCTCTATTTTTTGCCCTGGCAAAGATAACTTGCCAGGAATCTTTACAGAGGATAAAGAGAATCACTTGTTTTTAAAATTAAAATCTTTTTTTTTTAAGGTGACAAATCTATCCTTTCAAATTTAAGAGCAGGAACTTAATTCAACAGTACACTTACAAATTTACTGCCTGTTGCTAAGGCTAAATTTGACAAGGTGATCTTTTATTAGTCATTCGGCCAGAAAAAAAAAAAATGGAATCTCCGTCAAGACTTTGCTCTTTCCAGCCGCACAGGGTGACTCATGTGAGGTTGAAAGCAAGTAGCTTTGGGCAGGACTGCCCTGGGGCACAGCTGTGACCTCTAGTTTTGGTGAGTCACAAAAATAGCTGTAGCTTACTTCCACTTGTCCATTCTCATGAGGCATTTAAACAATGTGAATTGATGAACCACAAACTGATTTTTGTTAAGGGTTTCAGTACCTTTCCTAGAAAAACGTTTCTAGCATGACCTGTAAGTAGGCAGAGTAAGTCGCCCTCTCATCTATCTCTAGGAGGCAAGTTGTCTCTTCTAGAAGACAAATAATGAGTGAAATTGCTGAAGTCAGGCTGGTTGAGGACAGGGCAGGGGAGGAGAGGGAATCTACTTGACTGATAACTCAAGAATATACTATCCCTCCTGAATAATCCAGCCTGTTGCAAAAGTTTGCATAAAAAGGGTGAAATCATTGACTGATATTAGTGAATATTTATCAAGTGCCTGCTATATGCCAGGTCCTGGCTACACACCGTGATTTGTACAGAAAACAATGAAACCTGAAGTGGTTCCTAAGCCCAAAGATGTGGAGCCTCGGAACATGCAGTCACATACACACAGAGGAAGTGCGGAAGCCCAGCAGTGGCCAGCGCTTCCAGGAGAGGCCGAGAGCCGGGAAGCGTGGTGAGGGGCTGAGCTAGACGGGACACTCAGGAAAGCCTTTCTGGAGGGGTCATGTTTCAGCTGAGATCTGAAGGAGAAATAGGGTTGAACTTGCCGAAGGATGAGGAGTACCTTCTGAGTAGAGGGAAAATGTCTTCAAGGCCTGGTGGAGGTGGCAGAGGTGGGGAAAGGAATGGTTTGTCTGATGAGCTGAAAGCACTGGGTGTCGCCGGTGCTTGGGCATCCTGGGGTGGGGGGAGTAGGGTGCAGATGGAGTGAATGACTTAGGCAGGAGAAGACCACGAAGAGCCTATGGGCTTTATACCTGGAGTTGGGGTAAGCTGCGGAAGGATTTTAGGCAAAGGGTGGTAAAATCAGGTTTGCATTTTGTAAAGAACTTTCTGTTCACCATGTGGAGAACAAACGCAGATGGACAGGCCAGATGTATGGAGACAAATCAAGAGGTTGCGGCATGGGCAGGCATGGTTTCTAGGATGAGGGTGGTGGTGAGGATGGAGACAGAGAAACCTAGGAAGGAAAATCTCCCTTGACTGGGAGAGAGACAATTTACACACAGTGAGAGAGAGAAAGACTGGATTGACTGCCAGCGTTGAAGCATCTCCAAATGGTGGATGCTGGTTTTACTCAGAGAGGAACCACTGGAAGCAGACTAAGGTTGTTATTGTGGGAAATGTTACGAATTCAGAAGCATATAGTGTTGAAGTGTGTCTTTCTGATATCCCAATAGAGACAGCTAGAAAGACATCCATCTAGCTATATAGCTCTGGATCTCAGAAGAGTAATCAAGATTGGACAAAGGAATTTGGGAGTCTCTGTATGGCCATGGGTATTGATAGAGTGTGAAAGGAATGAACTATAAATGAACTTTGAGAAATTACAACATTTAATGACTGGGTGGAGGAGGATGAGCCAGCAAGGAAGATTGAGAGGGACATGCAGGAGGAAAACCAAGAGAATATAGTTTCCTGGAAACCAAAGGAAGGTGGTATTTCAAGGAGAGAGAATAATAGTCAATGGTGCCAAAAGCTACAGATGGTCCAGTAAGATGAGGAGGGAAGAAATTCCACTGGATTTAGCAACACAGAGATTCTCAGTAACTTCAGGAAGATTAACTTCAGAAATTAATGTGAAATCCAAGGGCAGGGGCACGTTTTACCCAATGCAGACTATAACAATATTTTTAGGGCACTAATCATAAAGTTTAAAGCACAGATACATACTGACCTCTGGCTGACTGATTTCAGAGATATGCCATATGGATATTTCTGGAAAGATTTGTAGCTTTCTGGACAAACAATGGGGTGGGGAAGAAACGTAGCAAGTTTACGTGTGGGCGAAAAGAAAAGCAGTCAGAAGCCCTGAGTGTTAGTCTTTGCAGCCAAAATTCAAAAGCAGGCCAGGTGATCAGAGGTGCAGCTCTTGCATCTCTAAAGCTGCAGGGCTAGGATATAATTGCCAGAATCTATGAAAGTGTGAGTGCTGTGGGTTTTGCCCATGAAGGCAGAAAGGTGCAAGTGAGGGTCTTGTCCATTCTATTGCCAGCCATATTAGTCTGTTCTCATGCTGCTAATAAAGATGTACCCAAGATCAGGTAATTTATAAAGGAAAGAGGTTTAATGGACTCAGAGTTCCACATGACTAGGGAGGCCTCACAGTCATGGCAGAAGTCGAGGGGAAAAGCAAAGGCACGCCTTATATGGCGGCAGGCAAGACAGCTTGTGCAGGGGACACAATTTATAAAACCATCAGATCTTGTGAGACTTATTCACTACCACAAGAATCAACTCCATGATTCAATTATCTCCCCCGGTCCCACCCTTGACTCCTGGGGATTACTAAAATTCAAGGTGAGATTTGGGTGGCGACACAGCCAAACCGTATCACCAGCTCTGCATTATACTGGGGGTAACTCTGCTTTTTTTTGTTGTTGTTGTTGTTTTGTTTTTTTGTTTGTTTTCAATTGGGAATGAGGCTGTCCTAGGTTTTTTTCCTGAGGTCATTTGCAGTTTTGAAATTGTAATAATTATGTTCATCAAGGTGAACATCTAATTTTGCATGCTCAATTAAGCTAATTTGGCATTTGCTGTCTTGTCTTCATCATTGGATGAGCTAATTTTTTGTACTTTTTTTTTTAATCACAGTATTTTGTCTCCCCACTTGCCTTTTAATCCTCTGTGCATGTGGCAGTGAGCTGTGGCTCTCCCTCACAGGATGAGGTCATGTTTGCTCCCCTGAGGCCTTCTTTGTGCAATCGTGGTCTCTGTATAACACCAAGGCCGCAATTTTCAGGAATAAACATAGATGGGAATGGATGATTCCCTGGTTTCATAAAACCTCTAAGCAACATTAGATAATACTCATTGATAGAAGTAAAACTGAATTATTCTCTGTGCCAGTAGTTTTTATGTCTCATAAGAGATTCTACTGGAGGGATCACTGGGTATTTCAAAGATGCTTGGAAACAACACGTTGATGGAATTGTCTTCAATGGAAAGTCATAAATGTTTGCTGATGATTTTTGGTGGGTCTATCAAAATCAATTAACCCTACCATTGTTGCATTTTGTGCTCACTTAAAAAAAATTATTGAAGAGGATGAATTTTGCAGCAAAGGGGCAAATACTCCTAAATACTGAAAACTCTTTGAATTCTAGAAGAATAGAAACCTGAGAATTGTTCTTCAATGGAAGAAATATTTAGAAAGGCAATTTTCATCACTTTGTATTTTTCCGTGAAAGTGGAATAATTAAAAACATAGTGATTTAAGCTGACTCAGAGTATGATGAAAGAAACATTAAATTTCTTCTGAGTGGGGTATTTAAAAATCATATTGAAATCTGAGGATGCTATGCAAGCTGTTAAAAGTTTATGTACTGGAATATGCACAACATATATGTTGCACAGGAAAAATATATTTTTTGATATAATGACATTTATGATATAAAATAGGACACAACTTCAACTTGGATGTTTAAGAGGAATTAAATGAGATCATGGCTGTAAAGTTCTCAGCACAGTGCCTGGCGCGGCACCAGTGCAGATGGCAGCTGGTGTTACAAGCCTCTCTCTTCTCTAAAGCACTCTTCACTAGAGCAATGCTGTTGACATGTCTGCAAGTCATGAGAACTTTTGGGAATCTTATGTACGCCCAATGTCTTTTCTCAAGACAAGCTGCACACTCACAAAGGCCAGGTGCATTGCCTCAAACTGACTGGCCCAGCTTGGGGCATTAACCAACAGTGGCCGAATATGAGATGTAATTTGTTTACAAGGTGCTTCAGCCGTTCTGTGGTGAGGTTGCATATTGAGTAGTTATCAGTTGACACATCTGACATTTTTTCAATGTCATAAAAGATTCTCGGTAACCTCAGGAAGATTGACTTCAGAAATTAATGTGTAATCCAATGGCAGGGACATATTTTATCCAATTTTTTTCAATGTTTTACATTGAAAAAATGTCAGATGAGTCAACTGGTAAAAATAAAAGGGATGTGTCATAAGATCAATCAGTAAAAACAAAGGGGTTGTATCATAAGAGGGAGAAGGGAAAGACTTGGATGGAGGAGGGGGCAGAGACAGAGAAGCTGCATCATGGCAATAATGGCATCAGTGGAGGGGCAGTCGTGGGCATCTGCTGATGAAGGGTCCTCATGGTCCAGTAAGATGGGGAGAGACCATGAGCTGTGTGGGGCTCAGACAGTACGGAGCCTACTTCATTTCTCCACTAGGCCTGGCTGTGTAGTTTCAGAGATGTCCTCTGAGTTTTCTTTCTTCATTATCATAAACCTCCAACACCTAAGGCTGTGCTTCTCAGAATTTCCAATGAAAGTGTCCCACAGTCTGATAGTCGAGATGGGGAGCCTTGGAGATCTGGAGATCCAGGCTGGAGCTGCAGGCAGCAAGCATGAGATTCCCTTCACTTTTTCTTAGGATCTCAAAAATGTACCTGATTTTCATACTTCAGTCTATAATAGGTTTATTTTAATGGGGGGAAGCCTGTCATCAAGGGAACAGATCCACTAAGAAAATGTGCTGCTATTTGAGTACCACATTTGGAGAATTGATTTGAGCAACCTGGCACATCTCTGTTCTTTACAAACTAAATGGCCAGAGAATAAGATGACTTCACTTTTTCCCAGAAAGTGGAGAGGGTCATTTGCAGTCTCTTGTAAAGATTGAAAGGGGGTCTGTAAGCCAAGCTACAGGCTCTCCTCATGCAGCTGGTCCTGGGATCCTAATTAGTATTTATCATTTTCTTTCTTTACTGCCCATTCAAGATTCTTCACTACTAACCAACATTTCAGCCGGTCTGACCAATTGGATAATCCAGGCCTTTAGCCCTGAGGGGTCTGAACTCTTAGTCGCCTTGCTTTTATAGGCGTGTGATTGAAGACATTGCTATTTCCGGCTGCCACGGAGCATGGAGGCACCTTGTGGGGCTGTAGGCAACAATGCAGCTGTGGAGAGATGCATAAACTACACTTGGCATGACAGCCCACTGTGGACAGTGGTGGTTCAGAGTCCTTGATATTTTGCTCTTTTCAGGTAATGTTTCTTAGACGCATTTCCAAGTAGCAATAGAATTCACACATGGAGCAGTTCATTTTTAGCTTCTCTACTTCTCTACAGTGTTTTAAGTACACTGATATGTTATAATTTCTTTAGTCAGTATTCAACTACAAGATACTTATCTCTATATTATTTTTTGGCTCACAGTTTTTGGGATATCCAGCTTACTTGGGCAATACTTCTCAGTGATCTTTCCAGTTGGATATTTGAAAATACAGTGGAAATAATTACATCTTAGTCACAAAAATCTACTTGATGTTATATCAGTTTATAAAAGAGGAGATGTAGACTTCCAAAATTTCAAAATCAGAACTTTTAGTAATCATCTAAAGTTATTTCATAAATTAAAAAATAATTCCAAGGATTTAATGATATGCTTTACCATAATCACAGTAAGTTGTGCAAACATATTCATAGAAATCATTAGTATATGTTAAGTACCATGCTAAGCAGTTTACTGGTATAACCTCATATAATAATCACCTGTGGTTATCCACATTTTATAGATAAGAAAATACATCCAATCAGTAGTGGAGCTGGGACTCAAAACTGAGATTGTGGAGACAGCAAATCCCATCTCACAAGGCCAGCGAGAAGACATCAGGTCAGCTTCAAAGTAAAGGCATTAAAAGACATGTAGGAACACCTTTAGGCATAAGATGGGCCCCAACCATCTGCATTTATGCTGAACCCACTGAAATGTCAAACATCAAATCCCTTTAAAAACTGTACTCTGCTGAGTCTAAGAACAAGAACTGGATTTCACCACATAAGGCCATATGTCTGCAGCCCTCCAATTCTCATGGAAGCATTTTGAAAGCACTTTCACTCCAAAACAAGTAAAAAAGATTGCTCTAATCAGCAACTCAACAATTTAAACTACATGTTGGCTTAATTAAAATACTTAGATCACAGTTGGATATTATTTCTCTATTGAAATACTTTCCACAAGGATATCATTTTTTGTGAGGTAGATTAGTAAATAGATGAAGGTAAAATATCTGAGACATGGGCTCATTCATTGGACAGAATTTATTGTATTCCCTTTGGAGTTGTTGTGGGATAATGACAGGAATGGAAACATGCATTCACATAACAATCATTTACTCATTTATCAAGAATGTATTCAGCTGGTGCTATGTGGCAGACATCCTGTTAGTTGCTATGTCTACAGATAGTGCAAAGTACTATTTTCTTAGTACAGTGCAGATTGTTTTAAAGTGTCACTAATGAGGTATTTCCATAGTTCATCTGTAGAAGCAGTGTTTTTAGAAGTTTACTGTTCTGTACTTTTATTCTTTAATAGTTATAACAATTATATAAAAGGACTAGGGATGTCATCTTACAGTTATGGAATGTTAGATTTGGAATTACATCAAGGACACCTTCTTCATTCCACAGATAGGGAACTGAGGCCAGGAAGCACAGTGACCCAGAAAAGTTTGCAGAACAATTTAGAGGTGCAGGCAGGAGTGAAACCAAGCCTCCTTATTTCTACCTTGTCCTTATTTTACTACTCTACTGAAAATAAAGTCATAAATGTTTATCCTCAAGGTGAGAAATCCATTTTAACCCATTCTAGATATATAATGTTATGAATATCTCCTGCAAAGCTCATAACTCTCCAAATAATCTCAACGGGTTGAGCATGCAATGCCAAGAAATTCTTCATTATAAACTAAATAGTTCATTAAGATATTAAATCCATACCTGCTTTGTATTTTTTAATGAAAAAGTATAACAATAGATGATTCACTTAATTTTGATAAATGTTCATTATAAACAATAAATTCCTCCAAATTTTATAAATTTTTGGGGCGTATTTTGAGGCTATTTGGAGCAACAAATATTCAGTTTTAGATGATATATTGTATATATATAACAAATATGTGTCAGATTATGTATAACATATGGTCAGCCCTCCATACTTGTGGGTTTTACATTCACAGATTCAACCAACTGTGGATCAAAAATATTTGGGAAAAAAAGGATGATTACATCTGTACTGAACATGTGCAGATTTGTTTCCTTGTCATTATTCTCTAAACAATACAGTGTAACAACTATTTGCCAACATTTACATGGCATTAGGTATTATAGATAATGTAGAGATGAGAGTGTACAAATCCTAAAAAGAGACTACCAGATAAGCCAATAAAGTGATATTCAAGATAATAAAGAACTGATAATTATAAGATCACTGCCACCAATAATTCCTCAGTGACTGAAACCTGAATATAAACTTGTAACATGAATGGTTCTTCTGAAAATCTCACAGACTCCAATTTGGCAGTGATGAATAACCTTGCAGGGTTTTGAGGCAAAGGCTTTAAATGGAGAATAAAATGACTATTAAAGAGAACACAGGCTCTTCGTGGTCTTCCCCTGAATTAGTACAGGGGAGGATGTGCATAGGTTATATGAAAATACTTTGTATCAGAGACTTGAGCATTCATGGCTTTTGGTATTTGAGGGAGGGTCTTGGAACAAATTCTCCAGCAACAACAAGAGACAGCTATATTTGTCCAATCTAGGTCACCTACAACTTTGGATGTCTTTCTTTCTTCTATCATATATCTCTATCTATCTATCTATCTATCTATCTATCTATCTATCTATCTATCTATCTATCCACACACACACACACACACACACACACACACACGTTGTAGTTTGGTTTCCACTGGAAACAGACTCTGATATTTACATGCAGATAGCTGGTTTAATGGGAAATAACACTATTTCCCACTAAGGCTGAGGAACAACACCTATTGGAGGTGAGAAGATTGGGTTGGGCCAGGAGGTATTAATATTGGAAACTCGATGGGATTGCAACAGTGGCCTCAGCCAATTCTGCAAGGAGCTCTGGGACTAGGTTGGCTTTTCAGAGTTGTCCAGCCTTGAGACAAGGAGCCCGGGCCTCTAAATGTCCCCAGCCCCTGTCTAGTCATTGGAAAAGGGATTCCTCTGGGCATGGAACAGGAGTTTAGGAGAGGAGTAGAGTTGGTCTGGGACCTGTCTGCTGCTCTATAAAATAGTCTTTGAAGAATGAGTGACTGAAATCACATTGAGAAAATGAGACTTGAGGCAATTGGTGAGTAGATGTTATTATACTTAACATAGTTGATAAGGCTGAAGGTAGAGAGATGAGTTATAATTTTGACATGTCTCCTTTTTACTTTTCTGACAATGCAATCCAGATTCTTTTGCTGGAAGGGAGACGTTTAAATGGCATAAGCCTTCCCCTTGATTGTCTGGAGCTGTGGTTGGGAAGCCCAAACAGGCAATGACTGCGGATCAATTGCCGCATTGAAAAAAGTTTTATTCAACATTAACTTCTTAGCAGGACTTTGGAAATTGGCCCAGTTCTCTATTGGCTTAGCAAATGCCTGGAAAATGGGACTTAAAAACAATAACATAAATCAAAGGGTTAGGACAAGGAGATATGGATGTCTGGGAGAACAGCTACAGGTTCTTGAAGATTAAGCTTTTCCTGTGCAGTTTGGTATCACAGCCTGATAAGCAATGCGTTTGGGAGGTTGATCCTGCTTGAGAGTAGGATAGAGAAATTAGGAAAGAAATTAAGAGTTCTAAAGGGAATTTTTTTAGATTTAGGAAGGTAAATAATTCAAAATAACAACTCTAAAAATTAAAAAAATCTCAAATGTCTTATGTTCATCATTATGGAAATAATGTTTATCTTCTATCCAAGTCATAATCACAAGATGTGATTAGAGATATTTGTGACATATTTGAATAGTCTTGGGCCTCCAGGATGTTGAAGATCAGAAAACTGTGTCATAGCTGGGATCATTGAGAGAAAAGAGGGTGTTCAGCCTGGACCCCTTCTAACAAGAGAGCTGATGATGTCCTTTGAATATGAAATTCTGATGTGCACAAAAGAAAATAAACTTATTTACATCATGTTGCTCCAGAGAAAAGAACAGGAAGCAAAGAGAAGACACAGGGAGAGAGATTTTGATTCAACCTAAGAAAGCACCTTCTGACATTAGTGTCAGGGAGACCTGGGGAAGTGGCTCTCCTCCCACTGGACGTCCTCCTGCAGAGGGAGGTGACCATCTGCAGGGACCCTGAGGAGGCGTTTTCTAGACTGAACGGGACAGCAGGCCATATATCCGCTAAAGGCCTTCCTTATCCTGGGATTTTACTACTCTGGGTCCTCAGAGACAAATTTTTCATGGTGGTTCCATTTTGTTTTTAGATATCACACCACCATGACCATGACTAGGTTGGCATGTAAAGGGGGCAGTCATTAGACATGGCCTCTTCGCCTGCAACTGCGATGTTGGTGTGGCCCAGAGAAGGGGGCAAGGCCTTGTAGTAGAAAGAGTGTGGATTTGGAATCGGGCAGTTTTACATTTAAATTCTAGCTGTTATGTTGCCTTGTATAAGTCATGCCACTTTTCTAATTATTCGACTTCTCTGCATAATACCTAAGTTAATTAGTACTTGAGTAATGATACTTAAGTTAGGTGACAGGAACTATTCGAAAGTGCCTAGCTCCCAGCAGGCGTCCACAAATGCGAATTTCTCTTTCTCCAGGACTCTGAGTGTTTCCCTTCCGATTGCAGTTATTACATGATCGCACATAATGTTCAACAGCTCAGCTCCCTCTGGTACTTCCTTCTGCCAAAACTAGGTCTCAGAGACTCACTGTGGCTGAAAAAAGTCAGGAAGGAAAATAGGCCAAGAGGCAAAGCACAGCCTGGCCTGGTATCTCTCATCTTCTTCAGAACCCAGAACATCACCTTTCCCACTAAGTTGCCTCCTTTATTTCTTACTTCTCTTTGTGACATCATCATTGTCCACATCATCTGGCCCCTGGTCCCATCTGTCTTGGGCAGGTGGCTGGAAATTTGAGCCAGTGTCCCGGGGAGATACTACCAGACTTCCTCCACGGAAGACAGGAGCATAAATGACTGGAAGAGCGGAGAGCTGGATGGAGTATGGTGCAAGGAACAGGTGCAGGTTGAACATTCCCGTCACACTGTGAAGTCCCCTGACATGGGACCTCCATCCCTGTTGCCTCTCCCAGTACCCTGAACGTGCCTGGATGTTGGCGGGATAGATGGATAAGGAAATCTGTCACTTCAGTAGAGTTTGGGAAATGCTCTTCTAAAAATTTAAAAGAGATGATAAAAATCTGATATGACATTTTACATGAGAGAGAAAAATCTAAATACTTACAAGGAAATCAATACAGTTCCTCTGTGATGATATTGTTGAAAATACCAGAGACTCTTCATGGTTTGCTCAGCATTTGTTTGTATAAATCTGAGTCTATGACATGCGTCACTATGAGGGAGGACCCTTTCACTGGTTCTATGTGCTGATGTCCTGGATATACCAGGGGCTGCTACCAGTGGTTTGGACCTGCAAGCCTCTCTGCACAGTTGCCGTGGGGAATGGAGCTGCTTGCATTATTTCTCACTTCTCTTTGTGACATCATCATTGTCTACATCATCTGCCTCTGGTCCCTCCTGCAGGCCTAGGCATCTTGGGCAGGTGACTGAACACTGGAGCCAGTGTCCCTGGGAGATAGGGAAGTCCCTCCCCATGAAGGGACCTAGGTTCTTTGTATCCTCTCCTGTAGTCCTGGGCCAATAACTGACTGCTTTATGGAAAACACACACACACAAAACAAACAAACAAACAAAGAAACCACCTTGCATTCATGCCCCAAGACTGAGCAGACCCTGTGGTACAGTTTATTCCCCAGAGGCCCCATGGGATCAAGCTGAAGCCCAGCTGCATCGGAGACCACATCCTTTTTCATTTTTCTTTCCTCCCTTCCCAATATGGCTCCCACCGACCCCTACATGTTTCTTGTGAGTGCACTCCATTGATAAATGTCTTGCACAAACATCCCCTTCTCAGGTTCTGCTCCAGGGAACTGTACCCAAGACACTACCAGCATCTGTCCCTCAATGCCACACACCTGTCATCCCACACATCAAAAGGAATCCCACGTAATAGGATACAAGCACAACTGCAAACACACTCACTGCCCCCGCCCCCTCCAACAAGGAGACAAATGAAAAGTCCATCACTCATCCAGAGAAGACTTTTTAGAGCCACTGTTCTTGGAGCCTGTTACCTCTGGGTGAGATCCATTTTCCCCCTATTTCTGTTTTAATTTTTTATATTTTCAAAATGAGAAAAAAAGGTGGGTGCAATGGCTCACATCTGTAATCCCAGCACTTTGAAAGGCTGAGGTGGGAGGATCACTTTAGGGCAGGAGGCTGAGGCAGGAGAATGGCTCGAACCAGGGAGGCAAGGTTGTAGTGAGCCATCATGCCATTGCAGTCCAGCCTGGGTGACAAGTGAAACTCCATCTCAGAAAAAAAAAATTGATAAAGGAGGAAGGCTGAACAAATCACCAAGATCATGTCGCAGGTTGGTTGAGACTAGAGGCTTCTACAGGGATGATGAAGTAAATGAAATGACTGACAACTCTCATAAATGTTAATTTGATGATTAATCTATTTGATAACAAAGTAAATTACCTGGTCACCCAGAAAGACTGCCACAGACTCTGTCCTCCGGGAGAATTTTGCTTGGCCATTGTTCTTCCAGAGCATCTCGGAGATTCTCTCTGTGGAGGTGGGACAGGGAGGTCTTAGTCACAATCACCCATTACCAACATCATTTATACTTATGCTTGAACATTTCAGGGGGCTGTTAGTTTGAGGGATTTTTCTTGTGTGACCATTCTTGTAAAACTATGGTCAGCCATGTGCCAGTTTCATTTTTGAGAATTTTATTTGTCAGGATAGTGTTGAAACATCTTTGTGAATCTCCTGGCTGGCTATACTTTCAGGGCTAAGCCATACCTGTGAGTCTTCTGATTTTTAGAGGAAATTCTGGGGCTCCACCTATTTTCATGATTTTTTTCCTTAATGACCTCAGAGCATGAGCAGGATATTATAGATTGGAGTATTGGCATGGGTTTCAGGGTGCATTTCTTCGCAAATCTGCTTTGGAGTCTTGCCAAAATGTTGCATCACAGCCAACCGAGTATTACAAGGGGAGGAATCTTCATTTTCACTTGGTGGTGGAGAAGGTACATTCTGAAGGGCTTGCTCACATTTCTGGCTCCTCCTTCCTATATATCCTCATTCCAGTTGCTGGTAATCTTCAGTTTTTCAATCAGTTCATAATCTCTCTCTCTCTCACACACATACACCCCTGGTGGCCACCACAGTTTGTCCAAACTAATAGTGGATGCTGTGCTCTGATTCTCTGCGTCAGTGGGCTGTCCTCTATTCTCTTCTGGTGACTTCCATGGAGCAGCGTCGGCTGAGGCTTGCCACTTCTCTGACCTTTACTGAAGGCCATAAGGAATCGATAACTCAATCTGATATTCTGACATTTAAAATGATGAATTCCTCTAAAGTCTAGCTATCTGATGAAGTAAGACATCTGATTCCCAAGGAACAAGACATACTGCTATCGTTAAACGTGCATTGCAGCTCTCTATCCCAGGACAATAACTTCTTGCTGGTCCCAATCCACTCTGACACTTTTTCTCTGCAACCCCATTTTGAATACCAATTTAATATGAATTTCAGTGGTTTGACAGCAAGTGATAGAAATCCTCACAACCTAGTAGAAATCCTCAAAATCTACAGAAGACTAAAAGAGAATACAGTAGGATCTCCTGGAATTCTAGGGTAAGAGTAAACTTAAGCCTCTGTTCCATTTTGTGCTGCTGGGAAACCAACAACTCCAAAATGTAGTGGCATAGAACAACCATTTTATATGCTCTGACTACTGTGGGTGAGGAATTCAGACAGGACATGACAGGGCTGGCATGGGTTGCATGTACTCCACAATGTCTGGGCCTCCGCTGGAGGATTCAGAGCCTGGGGATATGCAGGCATCTGGGAACTAGAGTCCTGGAGATGTTATCATCTGTGTGTGTGGTGGCTGATGCTGGTTGTCAGCAGACCCTCATTTGGGGCTGTCACTGGAACATCTATGTGACCTCTCCATGTGGCTTGGGCTCCTCACAACATGGTGGTCTTAGGATGGTCAGACTCTTTATACAGCGGCACAGAACACCAAAGGCGAATGCCCCAGCTTAGAAGGCAGAAGCGGACTTGCCTTTTGTGACCTAGCTTTAGAAGTCACACAGCGTTAATTCTGCTGCATTCTCTTGGTCACAAGCCTAACCAGACTCAAAAGGAGGTGAACTGGACTTTACCTCTTAATGGGAAAATGAATAGCAAGGTCTTAGAAGAGCATAGGGAATGGGAGATGATACTGTTTTAGTCATCTTTGGAAAACACAATCTGGAGCCTCCCCATGATATTTGCAAACCATCAAGTACACGAACAGTTTCTTTACACCTATTTCATACTTCTTTCCTTATTCTTATGAGTTGCTTTCCAATTCACCTGTGGGATAGGGGAGAAGATGTTATTCCATGATCTTCAATATTATGCTTTTAAAATTGGGTCAGCAATCCGTCATAAGTTTGTTTCTTTATTTTTTTTGAATTAGTGAGATACTCTAGATAAAAGAGTATTACACACTAAATTAAGGTTGTGTAGCTCCAATTACAAACTACCAAGAATGATAATATAATTTTTCTGAATGGGATCCGGTGCCCTCCCTGGTTCAGACAGCTGGGCTGGGACAAGGGTCATGGGCCCAAGCATGACCTCAGGGGCTCTCTTTAAACCAGGCGGACACTCTACAAGGGCCTGTCACATTTCCTTTGCATCATTTTGCTTCCCCCAGCTTATTTTAAAACTCTGTGTTGTCAGACGCAGAATTTCTATTCTCCCATTAAAAGTATGCACCCTCTTAGAATTCCCCAAGTGCCCTTTGCAATTAGCAAGGCCTGTGTAAATAGTTAATGAGACTCATCAGACTCACAATACAGATGGCAATGTTGCTTTGGCACAGCACTTTGTGGGCATCAATTTATTCTTCTTTCTTATACCATTTTTGTTTGAGGCAGGCCTAGGATAAATCTTGAGGTTGGCAAACTTGCCTCAGTTTTCTTTGCATGACTACTTTCAGTATCCATGCCAAACATGGTGGGTGTGAGTATGCATACACACACACACACACACACACACACCCCTAGGGATTCAGTGCCCAGGGTCTTAGACCTCATCCTTTCCTGACAGTCATAACGGCCATGTCTAATGGCCATGTCTTGGCCTGCTCTACCTGGCAGTGTTCATCACCTCTTGAACTTGCTTTGACAAACTAATTCTAGCCTGGTTCCAAGTAGGCTGTAACATCAAAACGAACAACAGAGACATTCTATTGTTGATAGCCATGCTACGGTAGAATAAAATTCTTAAGGGGGAAGAGACTTCAGTTTTTTTTTTTTTATCAATTGCTGTATCAACAGCATCTAGAACAGTGCCCAGCATATAGTGGCTGCTCAATGAGTACTTGTTCCATGTGAGATGCACAGGTTCATGTGCCATCCCTCAAAGGGATATTTGCAGTTTTGTGCTCAGGGCTTAAAAACTTGAAAAAATGAAAGACTGCCAGTCATAAGCTTTAAGGTAGAGATATTTCTGGGGGAGATGTAGCCCACAGTGCCCGTTAAGTAACAATTAGGGAGCTACTTTCACCCATTAATGCTTTTGCACGTGCCAAACCCACTTTCTCTATTCATATTCTTGGTTACTATCTGCTCAAATTCAGCAAGAGAAGGTGGGTTTCAGGATTTGGTGACTAGTGCAATTTGTGGGCCAGTGACTCACCTTAGTACTCGCTTGCATGACTTGAGAGTCTTGGATTTTGCCTGAACTATGACATGGAATAATTTTGCTATCAAAAGTGGCCTAGAGTTTGTTCCCCATTTGGTCCCCTTGACTTTCTTTTTCTTCTTTTTTGGAGACAGAATTAGAAGCAGAAACTAGGGGATATGTTTTCATATGACTTTGTAAGGCAACAAAGTTCTGCACAGAATTGAGCAGAAGGGAATTTAGTTCATTTCTACTGAAACCTTGCCTTGCTCTGGCCCACCATGCACGGTCCCTTTGGAGATCTGATTTCTGCTTTCATGGCTCAGTACTGAGCTAATGGCATTGCCAAGCCCCCAAGCTGTGCTGGCAACAGTTTCTGAGACAAGGACTGGCATAACCCATGGCTTCTTCAGGACAACGGATGTATGAATTTTTAGGTATGTACTTAGACTATACAAATAAAAAGTCAGGAAGAGATTTGCAGAGTTGCTAATTATCAATAAAATTATTAAAGAAGAATTCTGAGTTTCATGCTAACGTTAATTCATTATGTTATTCCCATTTACGTTGTCAAATTAATTTTTTGTGACCACTTGTATTTTTACGGCAGCAATTGCCAGTATTTTTTCCATAAATCACTTGTCCCATACTATATATACTCCTTAAAAACAATTCTCCTATTGAATAGGTTTTTGGGGTGCACTTCATACTATATTACTGTCTTGGACATTTTCAATGCTCATTAGCATATTAAATCCTAAAGAAATATTTAGTAAGGAAATACTGGTCTTTCTTTTTTTTTTTTGTTTCGTTTTGTTTTGAGATGCAGTCTCGCTCTGTCGCCCAGGCTGGAGTGCAGTGGCGCGATCTCGGCTCACTGCAAGCTCCGCCTCCCGGGTTCACGCCATTCTACTGTCTCAGCCTCCCGCGTAGCTGGGACTACAGGCTCCCACCACCACGCCCGGCTAATTTTTTGTATTTTTCAGTAGAGACGGGGTTTCACCGTGTTAGGCCAGGATGGTCTCGATCTCCTGACCTTGTGATCCACCTGCCTCGGCCTCCCAAAGTGCTGGGATTACAGGCATGAGCCACCGCGTCCGGCCATACTGGTCTTTCTTAACCTACAGTATCTAAAACTTACATGACCATAGGAAGCCTTCAACTGCATTCCCCCCCCCCGCCCCAAGAAATCTTTAATATGGAAAACTGATAGACTCAGACCACTATTAGGAAAACCTTGTTTGACAGAAGTCATTAGTTTATCTGCTTTAAATGCAAGTCCTGGACTACTGTTTCTAGGCTTAGAAGAACTTCTAAGGAAATGCTTTTCTCATGGACCCTATTGCTGTTTCGGTTACAATCTATTGAGTCCCTGCTGTGGATGGATTAGGCACTGGGCCAGGTTTTTACATATGTCTTCTTGAATGCTCACAATATCACAACTAGGAGAGTATGAAAATAGCTATTTCACCAATGAGGAAATTGAGCACCGTGTAGGTTAATTAATTTGCCAAAAGTCCAAGTAAACCCATGTCTGTCTGCCTATACACACTTTTGACAATGCAATATTGCCTTTCAAATAATTCACTTTTTTGCAACCTGGGTCACCCCTAGATGGTCAACCAATAGATACATATAGTCCTTTTTCATTGCTTAAGATGAATAACTTTTTCTTGTCATCATTCCTTATATAGTTCCTTGTTTAGTACTGCTTGCATGTGCAGTAGTACTGTGAGCAAGGAGGCAATGGTAGTGATGGATTATGCATAAGCTCCTTAAATAATGGATTACAAACAGGACACTAAGAGGATATGTGTTTAGTTGCTGATGTAAGCATGAGAAAAGTGGATAATGTTGGATCACGAAAGGAGAGGAGCTAAAAAATGCTGCTTTCTGTGAATGTGCTGAGCAGTGAATCTGACAAAATTACTTCTTCGGTTCTCTTGACTGCTTCCTTCCCACTTCTCCCCACTCTAGCCCCAAACTCACATTTCCAGCTATCTGAGAGTACCTGAAAGTCATTCTTTGAGTTTCTGTTGTTGGCTTTGGAAGGTTACTTCTTTTAATGCTGCACTAAAACCCCCGCTTGGGCTGCTGGTGTCGAAATGGCCTCATATCAGTTTTCTAGGTGACAGCATATTTGAAAATCCAATTCAAGCTATTACATTTTACAAACCTAAGTGTGAAACACTCCATTTATTTTGTAACAATTTGCTTTGTATTTTCAGAAGAAAAATTATTTTGCTCTTTTAAGAACAATTGTATATAATACTGTTCAATTTTCTTTTCATCTGAGAAAATTGGGCCCCAATTTCTTTGGGACTCAACTAGATGACATTTAAAATTGCATGATTTTATGCTTTTGGTGACAGTTTATGATTAGTGAGGGGATACTCGTGTGTTCAGAGACTTCCTTCTCTTCCGAAACATGTTGCTATGAATTGCAATTGTAATTACTATGCAGCTCTATGGGTAAAGTTCAAAGAGCAGGCTATCTCCAATTAGTCAGTCTACAGAATGTGTTCTTCATGGTCACTTCTAGATAATGTCATCAGAATTAGGACATCAACAAATATGCTGAGGTTAGAAAACAATTCCAAAATGTATCGTCAATGAAATTTAAAGTGCCATCTCCAGTGTGTGTGAAGTTGCAAAATGACAAATAATGTTCTACATTTGTCAGATGTCTAAAAGATATTCAACTTTAATAAGAAACAGGAGACAGAGAAGTGAGGACTAAACTAAAAATTACCTACAACATATCACAATTTAATTTTAAATGAATTTATTTGATTATTGCCTTTCATCTTACCTTCAGTTTGCCTAAATCCTGAGTTAAGTATATCACAAACTTTAATCCTGGAAAGAGTAAAAAATCAAGAGGTAAAGCATTGCATTCATGAAAGAGTTTGAGATGTCTAAGGCGTTTCTCAACTCAACTACCCAGAAAGAAAGTCAGTAAGTCTATGAGCTAATCTTGTTGTGATTAACTTCTGAACCTGTTCACTGAAGTCTTCATATTACTGCCTATGCATAAGGGCTCCTTTAGAAGAAAATTCTCTAAAAGGGGTGTATATTTTTCTAGGAATTTGTGTTGGAAGTAGCTTGGACAACAGGAGCTTCTCCAGTCAGCTTGCTTAGTTAGAAGGGGAGAATCTTCTAAAGCTGTGGCTGACCACAATGCAGCCATGCTGTTTTCCTGAAAAACCTGGACATTCTACCTTTATCTTTCTTGGCACAGGGCTATCATTTCAGGAAGTGGGGAGGTTATGTGACTGTGGGCCTTGAGGTAATTTTGTCTTGTGATATGACAATAAAATGTGCTAACCCATTTGAGTCACTTAACTAGAAATTTTTAAAAATTAGCTATTGTATTACTTGAAGCACATTATCTTTTTTTCCATCCCTGAACCACAGACTTAGGGAAATCTTTTAGGTATTTGGTTGACAATGAGAGAAGACAGACAGCAGATATTCATCTTAAAATACAAAGGATGATTCCTTCCTATTTCAAAGGAGTGGAGCCACATAGAAATTTATTTCCCAAGGAACTAGACTTATTTGACTGTTTAGTCTCTACTTTTAGAAGATTGGTTGCCTCTTGAGTAACTAGATGAATATTTTCCAACTCAGCTTAGAACCCTGGGTTAAATCGGCATCTCCAGTCAATTCTGGAATGGATCTGGGTTGGTCAAAATTAAAGTGAAAAAGTAAGATGCATGCATGAAAGAGATTATATGAAATTTTAGAACAGCCACACCTACAGGTTTCCCAGTCTGTAAACATGGCCAATTTCCCTTATTATAAGAAATGTTTTTTTTTTTTAAATTCTTACAAATTTTATGCTTTATCAATGTGCATTTCAAGTCAACCATAGCAGTCCCTCCCAAACAATGTATGCTTACTGATATCATTACATTTATTTCCAAATGTATGTCTGCTTGTTGAAATTTAGTGTAAATAAAATATTTTACATATTCTGTAACTCCTCAAAACGTCTGTGTTTAGAGAGTTGCTACTTTTATGAAACTTAAGTTGGATGTTTTGAAAAGAGAGTATAAGTGATGGGTTAAAACTTTTATGTTGAATTAGCTATGAGTGAGATTACAGTTTTAAAATTGGAATAGTGTAAAGTAGTTTGGAAACCTAGAAAGGGCCTTCATTTGGGTTGATTTCCACAGTGTTTTAAATACCATTCTTCACTAAAAATATTAGGAATCTTAGATATTGCTTTATGGGTGTAGTTTATGCAAGAAAGACACTGCAAAAGGCAGACCGACAAAGAAAATGGTTTATCCTTAGATCAAAAGAGTGGCAGAAATCTACGCATACTTTTCTTTAAAGGAAAGTGATTAAAACATGAACATATTATCAATTTATGATTCCCTAACTTGCCAACTTTCTTCAACCCACATTTCTACTACCAGTCTGGATTTTGACAGACAAATGGGATTTCATTGTAGTACTTACCTGTGAAGCAGTAGTTCTCAACACTTTTGGTTGCAGAACCTGTTAACTCCTTTAAATATTATTGAGGACCCCAAAAAGTCCATATTAATTTACCATATTAGAAAGTAAAAATAAGAAGCTCTCAAATATCTTTAATATGTTTATTTAAAACTAACAATATAATTTTTAATGGAAAGTAACTATATTTTCCAAAACAAAGAATACTTCTGTGAGAACAGTGGCATTGTTTTACATTTCCCAAATCTCTTTAGTATCATTAATGTCTCTTTAGTAATAGAAAACATCTGGATTTGTATCTGCCTCTGCATTCAATCTTGTTCTTTGTCATTTTGGCTAAAGTACGTAATGAAAATCTGGCCTCACACAGAAGTGTAGTTGGAAAAGGGAGGAATATTTTAATAGCTTTCAAGCAGGTTGTGGGTATTCTTCTATGAGACTACACCAAAACTCCACAAGTTATAGTTTCCCAATGGCTAGCTGCAATGTGTAATCTGAAACCACACCAGGGAACTTTTTGTATTTGATTACATTGAATCCATTAGTCTAGTTTCCACTTTGAATGGATCTTTTACCTTGAATGATTTTGTAGCATCATGCATGGGTTCCCTGAGCTATGTGGATCTTCCAAATGTTTATCCATTTTATTACATGATAACCCAAACCCCCACTTTTGTCAACATTCTCACTGACCTCATCAAAAAGCATTTAAGATTGGAAAGACGTTAAGCTCACTATGATACACAGTTTTCAAATTTTAAATTTAAATTTTAATTAAAAAATTTTTTTTTGCTTGAAAGTTCTATTTTTCTTTTTCTTTTTTTATTATACTTTAAGTTTTTGGGTATACATATGAAAGTTCTATTTTTTTTTATTGGGAACAGATACTCTTAGTTGTTTTTCTTAAAGTCACGTGCTTACTTTATTTTCAAGAAAATGGCTTCCAGATACCCATCTGAATAATCATAATTGATATATCAGTCATTCTCACAAGCACTATAAAAATGGTATACCATGAAAGTAGAAGTTGGGTCAGCTCACACTCAGATAACTGTACAAGTGTTTTTCTTTAAGATGATGGTTTTCTTCTATGTGCAGTAGAAGTACTTTGTGAGAACTTCCCATTTGTCTCACAGAATAATAAAAAGATGGGAACTCAAGGGTGGAGATTTAATAAAATAAAAAATTGTTACACCTTTATCAAAAACTTTCTTAAGTAAAACTGACTTCTTTTTAAATGTGGGTAGTGAGGAATGCAATGGCCACCCATACAGGTTCATACCGCTGCACTGGTTTGTGCTAAGGCACCAGCAATTTCCCCCAACATTCCTTGTGTGCCATCAGTACAAATGTCCGTGCAGTGAACTGGTTCCAGGCAAGATGGCCGAATAGAAACAGCTCCAGTCTGCAGCTCCCAGCAAGACCAACACAGAAGGCAGGTGATTTTGCATTTCCAACTGAGGTGCCTGGTTCATCTCACTGGGTGCAGCCCACGGAGGGTGAGCCGAAGCAGGGTGGCGGCATCGCCTCACCTGGGAAGTGCAAGGGATCTGGGAACTCCCTCTTCTAGCCAAAGGAAGCTGTGAGAGACTGTGCAGTGAGGGAAGGTGCTATCTGGCCCAGATTCTATGCATTTCCCACGGTTTTTGCAACTTGCAGACCAGGAGATTCCCTGGGGTCCCTACACCACCAGGGCCCTGGGTTTCAAGCACAAAACTGGGCGGCCATTTGAGCAGACACCAAGCTAGCTGCAGGAGTTTTTCTTCATACCCCAGTGGTGCCTGGAACCCCAGTGAGACAGAACTGTTCACTCACCTGGAAAGGGGCTGAGACCAGAAAGCCAAGTGGTCTTGCTCAGCAGGTCCCAGCCCCACGGAGCCCAGCAAGCTAAGATCCACTGGCTGGAAATTTCTCGTTGCCAGCACAGCAGTCTGAAGTCGACCTGGGGCACTGGAGCTTGGTGGAGGGAGGGGCATCCACCATTACTGAGGCTTGAGTAGGCGGTTTTCCCTTCACAGTGTAAACAAAGCCACCTGGAAGTTTGAGCTTGGCAGAACCCACCGCAGCGCAGCAAAGCCACTGTAGCCAGACTGCCTCTCTAGATTCCTCCTCTCTGGGCAGGGAATCTCTGAAAGAAAGGCAGCAGCCCCAGTCAGATCGGGTTCTCTGGGACAGAGCACCTGGGGCAAGGGGCAGCTGTGGGTGCAGCTTCAGCAGACTTAAACCTTCCTGCCTGCTGGATCTGAAGAGAGCAGCGAATCTCCCAGCACAGCGCTTGAGCTCTGCTAAGGGACAGACTTCCTCCTCAAGCGGGTCCCTGACCCCTGTGCCTCCTGACCAGGAGACACCTCCCAGCAGGGGTCAACAGACACCTCATACAGGAGAGCTCCGGCTGGTATCTAGTGGGTGCCCCTCTGGGACGAAGCTTCCAGAGGAAGGAGCAGGCAGCAAACTTTGCTGTTCTGCAGCCCCCACTGGTGATACCCAGGCAAACAGGGCCTAGAGTGGACCTCCAGCAAACTACAGCAGACATGCAGAAGAGAGGCCTGACTGTAGAGGGAAAACTAACAAACAGAAAGCAATAACATTGACATCAACAAAAAGGATGCCCATGCAAAAACCCCATTCAAAGGTCATCAGCATCAAAGATCAAAGGTAGATAAATCCATGAAGATGAGGAAAAACCAGTGCAAAAATGCTGAAAATTCCAGAAACCAGAATTCCTCTTCTCCTCCAAAGGATCACAACTCACAACTCCTTGCCAGCAAGGGAAGAAAACCAGATAGAGAATGAGTTTGATAAACTGACAGAAGTAGGCTTCAGAAGGTGGGTAATAACAAACTCCTCTGAGTTAAAGGAGCATATTCTAACCCAATGCAAGGAGGCTAAGAACCTTGATAAAAGGTTACAGGAACTGCTAACTAGAATAACTGGTTTAGAGAAGAACATAAATGACCTGATGTAGCTGACAAACACAGCATGAGAACTTCGTGAAGCATACACAAGTATCAATAGCCAAATCAGTCAAGCGGAAGAAAGGATATCAGAGATTGAAGATCAACTTAATGAAATGAAGCATGAACACAGGATTAGAGAAAAAAGAATGAAAAGGAACAAACAAAGCTTCCAAGAAATATGGGACTATGTGAAAAGACCAAACCTACGATTGATCAGTGTACCTGAAAGTGACGGGGAGAATGGAAACAAGTAGGAAAACATACTTCAGGATATTATCCAGGAGAACTTCCCCAACCTAGCAAGACAGGCCAACATTCAAATCTGGGAAATACAGAGAACACCACTAAGATAATCCTCGAGAAGAGCAACCCCAAGACACATACTTGTCAGATTCACCAAGGTTGAAACGAAGGAAAAAATGTTAAGGGCAGCCAGAGAGAAAGGTCAGGTTACCCACAGAGGGAAGCCCATCAGAGTAACAGCGGATCTCTCTGCAGAAACCTTGCAAGCCAGAAGAGAGTGGGGGACAATATTCAACATTCCTAGAGAAAAGAATTTTCAACCCAGAATTTCATATCCAGCCAAACTAAGCTTCATAAGCAAAGGAGTAATAAAATCCTTTCCAGACAAGCAAATCCTGAGGAATTTTGTCACCACCAGGCCTGCCTTATAAGAGCTCCTGAAGGAAGCACTAAATATGGAAAGGAGAAACTGGTATTAGCCACTGCAAAAACATACCAAAATATAAAAACCAATGACATCATGAAGAAAGTGCATCAACTAATGTGCAAAATAACCAGCTAGCATCATGATGACAGGATCAAAATCACACATAACAATGTTAACCTTAAATGTAAATGGGCTAAATGCCCCAATTAAAAGACACAGCCTGGCGAATTGGACACAGTCAAGACCTATTGATGTGCTGTATTCAGAAGACCCATCTCACATGCAAAGACAGACATAGGCTCAATATAAAAGGATGGAGGACTATTTACCAAGCAAAAAAAAAAAAAAAAAAAAAAGCATGTATTGCAATCCTAGTCTCTGATAAAACAAACTTTAAACCTATAAAGATTAAAAAAAGACAAAGAAGGGCATTACGTAATGGTAAAGGGATCAATGCAACAAGAGGAGCTAACTATTCTAAATATATATGCACCCAATACAGGAGCACCCAGATTCATAAAGCAAGTCCTTAGGGACCTACAAAGAGACTTAGACTCCCACACGGCAATAGTGGGAGACTTTAACACCCCACTGTCAATATTAGACAGATCAACGAGACAGAAAATTAACAAGGATATTCAGGACTTGAACTCAGCTCTGGACCAAGTGGATCTAATAGACATCTACAGAACTCTCCACCCTAAATCAACAGAATATATATTCTTCTCAGCACCACATAGCACTTATTCTAAAACTGGCCACATAACTGGAAGTAAAACACTCCTCAGCAAATGTAAAAGAATGGAAATCATAACAAACAGTCTCTGAGATTACAGTGCAATCAAATTATAACTCAGGATTAAGAAACTCACTCAAAACTGCGCAACTACATGGAAACTGAACAACCTGCTCCTGAATGACTACTGGGTGCATAACGAAATTAAGGCAGAAATTAATAAGTTCTTTGAAACCAATGAGAACAAAGACACAACATACCAGAATCTCTGGGACACATTTAAGCAGTGTTGACAGGGAAATTTATAGCACTAAATGCCCACTGGAGAAAGCAGGAGAGATCTAAAATCGACACCCTAACATGACAATTAAAAGAACTAGAGAAGCAAGAGCAAACACATTCAAAAGCTAGCAGAAGACAAGAAATAACTAAAATCAGAGCAGAACTGAAGGAGATAGAGACACGAAAAACCCTTCAAAAAATCAATGAATCCAGGAGCAGATTTTTTGAAAAGATTAACAAAACAGATAGACCGCTAGCCAGACTAATAAAGAAGAAAAGAGAGAAGAATCAAATAGACACAATAAAAAATGATAAATGGGATATCACACTGATCCCACAGAAATACAAACTACCATCAGAGAATACTATGAACACCTCTACGCAAATAAACTAGAAAATCTAGAAGAAAGGGATAAATTCCTTGACACATAAACCCTCCCGAGACTAAACAAGGAAGAAGTCGAATCCCTGAATATACCAATAACAAGTTCTGAAATTGAGGCAGTAATTAATAGCCTACCAACCAAAAAAAGTCCAGGTCCAGATGAATTCACAGCTGAATTCTACCAGAGCTACAAAGAGGAGCTGGTACCATTTCTTCTGAAACTATTCCAAACAATAGAAAAAGAAGGACTCCTCCCTAACTCATTTTATGGGGCCAGCATCATCCTGATACCAAAACCTGGCAGAAACACAACAAAAAAGAAAATTTCAGGTCACTATCCCTGATGAACATCGATGTGAAAGCCCTCAATAAAATACTGGCAAACCAAATCCAGCAGCACATGAAAAACTTATCCACCACGATCAAGTTGGCTTCATCCCTGGGAGGCAAGGCTGGTTCAACATATGCAAATCAATAAATGTAATCCATCACATAAACAGAACCAATGACAAAAAACACATGATTATCTCAAAGGATGCAGAAAAGGCCTTCAATAAACCTCATCACCCCTTCATGCTAAAAACACTCAATAAACTAGGGCTTGATGGAACAAACTTCAAAATAATAAGAGCTATTTATGACACACCCACAGCCAACATCATACTGAATGGGCATAAGCTGGAAGCATTCCCTTTGAAAACCGGCACAAGACAAGGATGCTGTCTCTCACCACTCCTATTTAACATAGTATTGGAAGTTCTAGGCAGGGCAATCAGGCAAGAGAAAGAAATAAAGGGTATTCAAATAGGAAGAGAGGAAGTCAAATTGCCTCTGTTTACAGATGACATGATTGTGTATTTAGGAAACCCCATTGCAGTGAAACCCTGTCTCTAATAAAAATACACACACACACACACACACACACACACACACACAAAATCAGCCAGGTGTGGTGGCGGGCTCCTGTGGTCCCAGCTGCTCGAGAGGCTGAGGCAGGAGCATGGTGTGAACCCAGGAGGCAGAGCTTGCAGTGAGTGGAGATCGCACCACTGCACTCCAGCCTGGGTGACAGAGTGAGACTCTGTCTCAAAAAAAAAGAAAAAAAAAAAAAGGAAAACCCCATTGTCTCAGCCCAAAAACTCCTTAAGTTGATAAACAACTTCAGCAAAGTCTCAGGATACAAAATCAATGTGCAAAAATCACAAGCATTCCTGTACACTAAACATAGACAAACAGAGAACAAAATCATGAGTGAACTCTCATTCACAATTGCTACAAAAAGAATAAAATACCTAGGAATGTAACTTACAAGGTATGTGAAGGATCTCTTCAAGGAGAACTATGAACCACTGCTCAAGGAAGTAAGAGAGGACACAAACAAATGGAAAAACATTCCATGTTCATGGATAGGAAGAATTAATATCATGAAAATGGCCATACTGCCTAAAGTAATATATAGATTCAATGCTATTCCCACCTATCTACCACTGATTTTCTTCACAGAATTAGAAAAAACTACTTTAAATTTCATATGGAACCAAAAAAGAGCCCATATAGCCAAGACAATCCTAAGCAAAAAGAACAAAGCTGGAGGCATCACGCCACCTGACTTCAAACTATACTACAAGGCTACAGTAACCAAAACAGCATGGTACTGGTACCAAAACAGATATATAGACCAATGGAAGAGAACAGAAGCCTCAGAAATAACACCACACATCTATAGTCACCTAATCTTTGACAAACCTAGCAAAAACAAGCAATGAGGAAACGATTCCCTATTTAATAAATGGTGTTGGGAAAACTGGCTAGCCATATGCAGAACACTGAAACTGGATCCCTTCCTTACACCTCATACAAAAATTAACTCAAGATAGATTAAAGACTTAAACGTAAGACCTAAAACCATAAAAACCCTAGAAGAAAACCTAGGCAATACCATTCAGGACATAGGCATAGGCAAAGACTTCATGACTAAAACACCAAAAGCAATTGCAACAAAAGCCAAAACTGACAAATGGGATCTAATTAAACTAAAGAGCTTCTGCACAGCAAAGGAAACTATCATCAGAGTGAACAGGCAACATACAGAATGGGAGAAAATTTTTGCAATCTATCCACATAACAAAGGGCTAATATCCAGAATCTACAAGGAACTTAAACAAATTTACAAGAAAAAAACAAGCCCATCAAAAAGTGGGTGAAGGATATGAACAGACACTTCTCAAAAGAAGACATTTATGCAGCCAACGAACCTATGAAAAAAAGCTCATCATCCCTGGTCATTAGAGAAATGCAAATCGAAACGACAATGAGATACCATCTCATGCCAGTTAGAATGGCGATCATTAAAAAGTCAGGAAACAATAGATGCTGGAGAGCATGTGGAGAAATAGGAACACTTTTACACTGTTGGTGGTAGTGCAAATTAGTTCAACCATTGTGGAAGACAGTGTGGTGATTCCTCAAGGATTTAGAACCAGAAATACCATTTGACCCAGCAATCCCATTACTGGGTATATACCCAAAGGATTATAAATCATTCTACTATAAAGACACATGCACACGTATGTTTATTGCACCACTATTCACAATAGAAAAGACTTGGAACTAACCCAAATAAATGTCCATCAATGATAGACTGGATAAAGAAAATGTGGCACATATACACCATGGAATACTATGCAGCCGTAGAAAAGAATGAGTTCATGTCCTTTGTAGGAACATGGATGAAGCTGGAAACCATCATTCTCAGCAAACTAACACAGGAACAGAAAAACAAACACTGCATGTGCTCATTCATAAGTGAGATTTGAACAATGAGAACACGTGGACACAGGGGCCCACGTGGACACACTGGGGCCCATCGGTGGGTGGAGGATAAGGGGAGGGATAGCATTAGGAGAAATACCTAATGTAGATGATGGGTTAATGGGTGCAGCAAACCACCATGGAACATGTATACCTATGTAACAAACCTGCATGTTCTGCACATGTATCCCAGAACTTAAAGTATAATAAAAAATAAATAAGTAAATAAATAAATTTTAAAAAAAGAATCCATAGAACTTAAAAAGAATGTCAGTGCTGTGAGAAAGGCAAATAATGTCATAGTAGTATTTAAAAAAGGTATAAATTATAAAAGTAAAATGATTAAAAATAGTATCATTTAAATATATATAAAATGTTATTAATATAGAAGTTACAATACAATATTAAAATAAAATAATAAAAAAGTAATGTGCCATAGGGAACTCCCAGGGATCCATGGACATACTCTTAGAATCTCTGCTCTGAGGGTTACTGGAGGGGTTAAATTAGCTAATGCACACAACATACATGGCACGGCATGTATATAGGACACCAGGGAGCCCTTCATCCCCAGGACCAATTTTCCCAGAGCTCTTGCAGCACCCAGAATGCCTCAAGTTCGCAGATACGTCTGGACCCTGTCTCAGGAAACTGGCAGTTAGTTTAGATTTCCTTTGGAGAACAAAGGGGAGAATTAAGATTGAAAGGAAAGGATATAATCAGTTAGATTTTCCCTTAGTGTCCTTGCATATCTGATTCATTATATTCTAATATTTATAACAAGGGAAGTCTGTCAGGCCACAGCACATCTTAAAAGTGTGTGGTTGCCCACTGGGATGCAGATGTCTTAATGCTGACTAGACCTGGCTCTGACTATTGGTTTGTTAGCACAAGGGGCGCTTAGAACCTGAGAAATCAGCTACAAGTGGCCAAAATACTGATTATTGTGCCACAAAGGTAATTTGTACCTCAGGATGGGTAGTCATTCTGTTTCCTTCTGGGAAGACCAATAATGATCATGAGTCTGCTAAGAGTACTGGCATTTTGCTTTCTTTGAGATGTGTTGGAGAGGAGAGTGAATATGTAGATCAATATTACATACAGGATGACAACTTTTTAAAGGGGACGTATTTTAAAGATCCCTTTGGATTTGGGCAACTTACAGGAAGCCTGGGGTTCGTGCATGTGCTCGTGTGTGTATATAGTTTGCCATGAGTTCCGCTGTTTTTTTTTGATAAGTTTTGGGGAGATGAAGACCAATTTGCCATCTGCTCACCTTGCATTTGTTAAAAGAATGTACCCGCAAAGGAGAGCAGGACAGCCTGAGCTCTACCTGTTTCTTCTCCAGAATGTCAGCAGCTTCTTTTCCTGAGGGAGCTGAGGAGCATTCACAAGTAATTGGATCCCAAGAAGATTTATGCTTTTAAAGTAACATTCTTTTATCTTGCTAGTCATCTGTCTGATTTCAGATACACGAGCAATATCAGATCATCTCTTAAAGTAAAGGCTTTGAGCAAACACTGAAATATTGCAAAATCTGAAATGCATTGACACAATAAGTATTTTAGAAATATAAACAGTGTTGAAATGTAGAAATATAGTTTAATAAAAGGTTATTCTAGGCCGGGCGCAGTGGCTCACGCCTGTAATTCCAGCACTTTGGGAGGCTGAGGCAGGTGGATCACAAGGTCAGGAGATCGAGACCATCCTGGCTAACATGGTGAAACCCCATCTCTACTAAAAATACAAAAAATTAGCCGGGCGTGGTGGCGGGTGCCTGTAGTCCCAGCTACTTGGGAGGCTGAGGCAGGAGAATGGCTTGAACCCGGGAGGCGGAGCTTGCAATGAGCGGAGATGGCGCCACTGCACTCCAGCCTGGGTGACACAGCGAGACTCCATCTCAAAAAAAAAAAAAAGTTGTTCTAAAATAAAACACACAAAAATACAATTTAAATTGTACCTCCTAATATGCTATTTTCAAACATGGTTAAATGTTTCACTAAAAAATGTAAATGAATTCATTTATTTGAGAATCTCCAAGGTTCCTTATAGCTCCAATATTCTGAGGCTATTTGGTTTCAGTCACAGTTCATGGATGATTTTAGGCAGTGGTCTATCTTGCAGCTTCTTCTCTACGCATGGCTCTGTGTGCAGTGTTCGCCTGATTCTGAAGATGGCCCACCGTTCCTGATGGGTTGTTGGAACGTTTGATGTGGCCCCTCTGTGGCTTCTCTCAGTGCTCGTGCCCCACCAGCTGTCATGCCATGGTTTCCCCGTGGCCTTTCTGGAGACAGGAGGGACAGATGAGTCTGAATGGATCCTATTTAGCTGCTTCCTGCATTCAGTTCTGTTCCTGCATTCACAGATGAGTTGGAACAATTGCCACCATTTACCCAACACTTCCTTTTCATTCCTTTCAATGCTTCCAATATAATGTGCTCGGTTTTTCAATTCTATACTTTTTGCAAAGCATGAAAGACTACCTTTTAAACTAAATTTGCTCTTTTGTTAATTCTCAGCATTCTCCTGTGATTCTTATTTTGGACTAGTAAGCATAGAAGAGGAGCTAAGATGTTATTTTTTATATAAATGGGTCATTTTAATTGTCATTTAGAAATGCCTGTTATACTATGTTACAGTATACACGGGTTATACATTGCATGAAAACTTGTGTTCTTAAGATTAAGTCAGAATCTTCTTTTTCTTTTAGAATGGAATATCTTCAAGGGTTTTTGACACAAATATCCATGACATTCATTTTAAAACAAAACAAAACAAAGTAAAACAACAACAAGAAACCTACTTTTCCACCCTTGGGAACAACACAACTATGATTTTGTCCTGTGATATATATACCCTAAGCAAAAGTCTTTTAATTGACCCAAATATGAGCTAGTGCCACTTGTAATAGGCCAGATGACATTTTTCTCTTATAATTGAAGAACATTTTGTTTATTATGACATAATCCAAGCGTGATCCTTGAAGAAGAAAAGGTTCAGGGACAGAATTTGTGTAAGATGTAATCAGAACATGTTCATCATAGGAAGTAATATGAGTTCCCACTAAACTGAATCTATGCCTTTCCAAATCATGATAAAGCTTTATTGCAAACTTTGTTTTATTGTGTTTGTTCCTGATATGGTTTGGTTCTGTGTTTCCACCCAAATCTCATCACCAGTTGTAATCCCCATGTGTCAGGAGAGGAATCTGGTGGGAAGTGATTGGATCATAGGGGTGGACTTCTCCCTTGCTGTTCTTGTGACAGTGAGTGAGTTGTCACGAGATCTGGTTGTTTGAAAGTGTGTAGTACTTTTCCCTTCACTCGCTGTCTCTCCTGCCACCATGTGAAGAAGGTGCTTGCTTGCCCTTCTCCTTCCACCATGATTGTAAGTTTCCGAGGCCTCTTAGTCATGCTTCCTCTTAAGCTTGAGGAACTGTGAGCCAATTAAACCTCTTTTCTTCATAAATTACCCAGTCTCAGGTAGTTCTTTAGAGCAGTGTGAAATGGCCTAATACAGTTCTTTTAAAAATAACATGCTTATTCTGCAAGCTTTCTAATTCATGCCCACCATAAGGTAATGTTTATAAGCGAACTTTACTGGGCATCCAGTAAAGTTCACAAACTGAAAATACATGCAACAAAACAATTTAAAAAATTCAAAACAAAAAAGTCAAGAATTTAAATGGACAACAAAAAAAGCATTTGTTACTTAAAAGCTAAGTAACAAAGCTTATAGTTTCAGAAATGTTTTCCTTTTGTAAGACCTGGGGTCTAGCCCTTGCTATGTCATTGACCATCTATGTACTTGAAATGGATTCATTTCGTGCCTCTGTGCCTCTAATAGTCTATCCTAAAATGGATGGTGAAATCCATACACATCACACATAAAAAGAAGTAAGATAGTCTTCTCACCTTTGCCACCTGGTATAACACCTGAGTAATACACCTGTCCCGCCCCGACTCCTTTGAGTTTAAGCAGGATTGTGACCCCCTCACTCCATTTCCTATCCTTTTTTTTTCTTTTTTTGAGACAGGGTCTTACTCTGTCTCCAAGGCTGGAGTGTAGTTGTGCAGTCATAGCTCACTGAAGCCTGGAACTCCTGGGCTCAAGCGATTCTCCCATCTCAGCCTCCCAGGTAACTGGGACCACAGGTGTGTGCCACCATGCCTGGCAAATTATTATTATCATTATTATTATTATTTTGTAGAGACAGTGGTCTCACTATGTTGCCCAGACTGGTCTCAAACTCCTGGGCTCAAGTGATCCACACACTTTGACCTCCCAAAGTGCTGAGATTACAGGCATGAGCCACCGCACCTGGCCTGTGACTTGCTTCTAATCAATTGCTAATGGGGCATCACTCCCTTGATTATATTAGATAGCAAAGCTGTGAGTGCTCATGCCCATGATTATGTCACGTTATGTAAGACTCTGTCTTAACAGTCTTGAGGGAGTCTCTCACTGGCCTGGAGGAGGCAGGCAGGCACTTTGTGTGGGGCCTAGGAGGAGGTGCATGTGGAGAGGAACCTGGGGGCCTCTATTCCCAGAGAGCTGCCTCCACCAGCAGAAAACTTGGACTCCTAGTTATTAGCCCACATGGAACTAATTCTTCCAACATTCACATGTATTAGCCCACATGGAACTAATTCTTGCAACATTCACATGAACTTGGAAGAAGACTCCATGTTCCTGGAAGGAAAGCAGCCAGACTGACACCTTGATTGCAGCCCAGAGAACCTTAGCAGGGGTTCTAGCTGAGCCTGCCGGGACTCCTGACCTGTGGAAACTGTGAGACAGCAAATGGGCAGGGAGTTTCTCCACTCTCTGCACCCACTTTCACTGCCCCCGCATGGTATCATCGTGCATTACTGTGACATATTTATCAAAACTGAGGAACAACTTAGGGACAATGCTATTAAAGTTAACTCCAGCCCTTATTCCGATTTCACCAGTTTTTCCATTAATACTTTTTTATTGCTCCAAGGTCTAATCCAGGATCTTGTGTTTAGTTGTGATGTTCCCTTCCCTTCCTGTGGTCTGGGTCAGTTTCTCATTCTTTCCTAGTTTTTCATGACTTGACAGTTTTGAAGAATACTGGTCAGGTCTTTTTTGCAATGTCGCTTGATTTGGGTTTGTGGAATGTTCTTCTCGTCATTAGACTGGGGTTATGGATTTATGGAGAGAATGATGAGAGAATTTTTGGAAGTGATGGAAATGTTCAATTTTTTTTGTTGTGGTGGATTCATGGGTGTATATGTTTATTAAAACAAATTACACTATGGCATAAAAATGAGTACATTTTATTGTGGGTATCATACCTCAATAAAGTTTTTGGAAATAGATATTTCATATGCACATAAATACATATGCAAACATATCAATCAATAATTAGAATTAATTATATATCTAATTGGTTCTTTACCACAAGACTGCTTAGAATTTTTAAGATTCTAAATGTACTAATGTTTCCTGTGAGTCTATAAGCATTAGATATCTCATGGAGCACTTCCAAACTTCTTAGAATCTGAGATTTTTTTTTTCTAACACTTCATAGAACCTGATACAAGATTGAGACATCCTGGTTTAAGTAAATTACACTTGAATGTGTAGGAAAGACAACAAAAACAAGGAGCGTTGTGCAATTTTTCTAGCATGGCTGGCCAAAGATTGGGAAAATATTTTTGTCCATTGAAGTGGAAATATCTCTCAGGTTTAGCATGTTATTATGTCTGTAAACGTGAAAATGTAATAACATTTTGTATTTTTCATTTAATCCATTACCTTAGAAACTGTTTGGAAACAGGCAAGGTGGAGGACTTCAGTGGAAGAAGGAAGGAACCCAGGCCCACCGGCAGCCCGGTATTATGCGGTGGTAGCTGCTAAATCTGGAACTCTTTTTCACCCTTTGACATTGCTCAGTACTTGAGCCCTGGATCTGGATGGAGTCGGGAGAGGGCTGAGGTGCTAGGGCCAGCAGCTGAGGGCCTGAGGGATGGCCCTTAACTTACAAATGGGAGGAAGAAAGTGGGGTAATGGTGAACTCTAGAAGCAGTACCCCCACTCCCTGGAAGACCCCTGGTTCATACAGTCATTATTTGATATGGTTCAGTTACTGGACACAAAAACGTATCTCTTTATTAACCTACCTGCATCTCTGTGAGCTCAAACAGTTCTCTGTTTAGAAGCTGAATTCAAGCATGAAACAGCATTAGCTGATTTTTATCTTGAGTTGTGTTTTGATGCTTTGACAAGACTTACTGGCAGGTTATGATTTATGACTTGTTTTACATGATTCGTGGGTCATGTTTGCAATTATATTGATAAGCATTCCTTGCATATGCAATTCCATTATGCACTTAAATACTAGACAGTATTGAATGCTGAAAGCATTGAATTGCTTGAAAAGTTTTTCTCAGTGGGCCTCAGACCCAAAGTCTGCAATAACAATGATTTATAATGTTTGGGGAGATTGTAAATGTACTTAAAAGTATTCAACCTATTATAATTGTGTTTGCTGCTTCCTGGCCAGTGCTGTGTCCTGAGAAATGGCAAGCACGGTCCAGGTGACCATGGTGGGTGGAGGCCGATGGTCAGGGGCTGGCACCTGGAACTGAAAGTAGCTGACTTGGATAAGGCAAGTTTGGGACTCAGACCCAGCGGCAGCACCTGGTGAAGGTCTAGCCTGGCAACCTGCGTGTGGTGTCTCAGCTGGATGGTGCCTACGGGGTAAGTGTAAGGCATCCAGGGGTCTGACCTGAAGGGAGGTGGAGGTTACTTGTTGCAGTTTGAAGAGAACAAGCAATGAGAGTTATCCCCAAGGAAGACCGGCTGTCCACAAGGCATGTCTCCCTAAGAATGCAGGAGGCCCATTGGCCTTACCGTGGTCCTTGGCTTTTCAGGATCAGAATGTGATTGTTCATCTTCTCAGAAGTATTAGAGCGAGAGGACTCACACAAAATTCACCGGGGACTGATGATTAAAAACCAAAATACCAATTTATTACTTTACAATAAGAACTCAAAGCAGAGTAGATAATTTGCTCCGCTGCACAGCTTATTCTCTATTTGCAGACAAGTCTTCGTGGAAGCCAAATTACCATCAGGAGCGTCTCAGGGAGCAGGCACTCTTAGCAAGAGGAGGCTGATGTGGCCGCCCCATGAGCTCATTCCCTTAATGGGACATCCTGCCCCATGACCAGGTTTCTGCTCTCTGGTGATAGAACATCTGTGCACAGGGCAGAAGACATGGCCAAAATTTGCTCCTCACTTGCTCTTTTCTCTGTTTGCATTACTGATCATTCTCCTTCTTCTTGACACACTGTTTCTAAGGTAGTCCAGCATCTTTCTAATTTTAATCAGGTATTGCTGTCCTGAGAGCTATTCTGGCTTTTGATAATAAATTGGCATAATTATGTTCCAATCTGCTAAGTGTTTGTTTTGGAATTTAGCTGTCAGAGATGATCCACTTTCCAAGTTCCTGGAGTAGGGAAGTTGTGGGAGAAAGAATCCCTCATAGTTGAACTGAAGCACTACCTGTAGTGACTAGTTAAGTAAAGTGATAAGGATGCCAGGAAGAGCCATGTTTAAAGACCTAAGACCCAGGAAAGCATGCAACAGGGCTAAAAACACCATTATATTCATTGGTGCATCACTTTTGGCATCCTAACTGCATGAGACACAACCTGCTCTATGATTAGGTTCAGTATTGCAGATAGAAGACAGCAAAAACATTCCTTCCCTTACCCCTCTCTCCTTCCTTCCTTTTCTCCATTCCTTCCAGCAATTAAGGCTTAATGGCTTCCATATACATCCTCACTTAAAATACAATCTGTCAAGTACTAATTCTGATTAATAACAATTTGCATTGTGTACCTGAAACATTCCATGTTTACCTGATATTGTCAGCATTTGTTTGTCATGCTCAGCTTCTATCTTGGAGACTTGCTTTTCATTTAGTGTAAGTTCCAGATAATTGGAGTAGTTTTATTCCTCCTTATCCATCAACTCCATCTTGATTTACTCCTTCAGAGATTTTTTTGCTATTGTTTACCTTCTTTTGGTCTCCTTCTTTCCTCCCAGTGGGATGATGCTAGATGGATGCTTCATTTTCTTTACCGATTGCCTCCCTGAAACATTTGCTTCAATTAGAGGAATTGGCAAATCTAAAAGGTTCTTAAATATTTCAGAAAAATAAATGGCAGACAAATTTCTTAAATAGTTAATTGTTGGAACTTCCACTTCTGGGAAGATGGAGTAGATATAGTTTTCCCTATTCCTCCCACTAAGTACAACTAACAACCTTGAACATTATATGTAAAAAAAAATAAGAAGAAGACTCTGAACAGTGGGGAGAAGAAAGCACTCTCTAGGGATGTGGGAACCCAAGAAACAGCATAATGATGGGTTCCCTAGATTTTCTTTTTTGCCTCCTGTCTTCTAGACTTGGAGCTAAAGAAATCAGCACCCTGTAAACATCAATGGACATAGACGAATAGACGAAAAGAGCCCCAACAAAAGCCTTCTCTATCTAGACAAAGGCCCGGGCAGGGAGCGGTATAGCCAGATAGAAAACTTTTAGATAACAATTGCTCTACTGCTGCTGCCAAACACCACAGAAAAAATGATGGCCAACCCAGGTGAAGGGGAGCCTAGACCTCCACTCTTATCAGGACCCTCAATCCCTCCATGGGGTGGTGTCAGAAGAGGCAGAGTAAAGAGCTTGGACTTCTACCCCTGCCAGCCAGCAGTGAGACCCCCACTTCTCAGTGTCATTTGAGGCCATGTGGGAAGCCTGTACTTCCTACACACCCAACAGGAATAAAGCTTGTGCTATAGGAGGCCTAGTGGAGATTCAGGACTTTTGCTGCCGTCCTGAGGAGTACTGAGGCCCTGGGGGGTCAATGGAGGCTATGTGGGGACAGTGTGGGGACAGTAGTGAGGCACTCCTGCTACTCCCAGTCAGAGTGATAGCTGCAGAGGTCTAGTGGGAAGCTAAGCCTCCCCTCCCGCTTCTGTCCAGCAATACTGAGGATCCTCTCCCCTGTAGGGGTTATAACATAGTCTGAATGGGAAATGTGGACTTCTACCCCCATCTGGTGCTAATGAGGCAGCTCTCCCCACCTGCTTCTACTGAAGTGGTGTCAGAGGAAGCCAGTAAGGTTTAAATAAGATTCAGAGTCTCATAAAATACCCAAAGTGTCCAGGTTTCAAAAACAAACTACTTGCCATATCAAGAACCAGGGAAACATCAACTTGAATGAAAAAATGTAATCGACAGGTGCTAACACTGAAATGTTGGAATTATCTGACAAAGATTTTAAAGTAGCTATCACAAAAATGTTTCATTAAACTATAAACAAATGCTTGAAACAAATAAAAAAGATAGTTTTATTAACTAAATAAATAATATAAAAAAAAACCAAATGGAAATTTTGTAACTGCAGAAATATGATTATCCAAAATTTAAAAACCAAGCTGATTGGCTCATTAACAGAAGAATGAGTATGAGGAAGGAAAGAATCAGTAAATCTGAAGGAAGAGAAATAAAAATTACCCCATCTGAAGAAAGAGAAAATAGACTGAAAGAAAAGCCTCAGGGTCCTTTAGGACAATATCTAAAAGTCTAATTTTTTGTTGTTGCTGTTGTTGAGAGAGGATCTTGCTCTGTTGCCCAGGCTGGAGTGCAGTGGTGTGATCATAGCTCACTGCAACCTTGACCTCTTGGGCTCAAGAAACCCTCCCACCTCAGCCTCTTAAGTAGTTGGGAGTTACAGGCATGTGACACCAAACCTGGCTATTTTTTTTTTTTTTTTACTTTTAGTAGAGATGAGGTATTGCTATGTTGTCCAGGCTGGTCTGAGTCTCAACTTCCTGAATTCAAGTGATCCTCTTGCCTTGGCCACCCTAAGTGTTGGGATTACAGGTATGAGCCACTGTGCCTGGCTAAAATCTAACATTTGTGTCACTGTAGTCCCAGAAAGGCAGGAGAAAGAAGATAAAGCTGAAAAAGCATTAAAGAAATAATGGGTGAAAACTTCTGCAATTATTATAATTTTTTTTTTTAGAGACAGGATCTCACTCTGTCACCCAGACTGGAGTACAGTGGCACAATTATAGCTCATTGCAGTCTCAAACTCCTGGGCTGAAGTAATCCTCCTGCCTTAGCCTCCGGCATAGCTAGGACTACAGGCATACACCACTGTGCCCAGCTAATAACTTTCAGTTTAGACAAGATTCACACATCTACAGATTTAAGTAGCTGGAAGAATCCCTGAACAGTTCACATCCAAATAAATCTACATCAGGACACATCATAGTCAAACATCTAAAAACTAAGGACAAAACATCTTGTAAGTCACAAAAGAGAAAATATATTTTACATGTAGGGAAACTAAAATTCAAATGACAATGATTCCTCATCAGAAACTAGAAAACCCAGAGGAAGGGGCACACCATTTTTGAAGTCCCAACCTGAAAGAAAGCAATTGTCAACCTAGAATTCTATACACTGAAAATATCCTTCAGGGATGAAGAAGAAATCAAGATGAAGGGGAAACTCTCACCAGCAGTTCTTTCCTAAAAGAACAGTAAAAGAAATTCTTTACAACGAAAGGAAAAGATACGAGAAGGAAACTTGGAACATCAGTGTACTAGACTGTTCTCACACTGCTATAAAGAACTACCTGAGACTGAGTAATATGTGAAGAAAAGAGGTTAATTGAGTTATAGTTCCATAGGCTTAAAAGGAAGCAGGACTGGGAGGCCTCAGGAAACTTATAATCATGACAGAAGGCGAAGGGGAAGCAAGTACTTTCTTCACATGGCAGCAGGAGAGAGAAAGAGAAGGAAGTGCTACACACATTTCAACAACCAGCTCTCCTGAGAACTCACTCATGAGACAGCACTAGGGGAAGGGTGCTAAACTACTAGAAACTGCCCCCATGATCCAATCACCGCTCAGCAGGCCCCTCATCAACATGTAGAGATAACAATTCAACATGCAATTTGGGTGGGGATCCAGGGACAAATCATATCAATCAGGAAGGAAGAAAGAATAACGGAAAGAGAAAAATCTGCATAAATACAATACATGCTACCTCTCTTGAGTTTTCTAAATTTATTTGATATGTAAAGCAAAAACTATTGTGCTTTCTGATGTGTACCTAAATGTGTATAGAAGAAATATGTAAGAAAATTGTAGATGTGTGATGGTAAAGAGAGGTAAATTTTCCAAACCTCACTTGACCTGGTGAAAGGTTGACACCAGTAGACTGTGCTAATATATATATATATATATATATATATATATATATATATATATATATATATATATATATCTCCCTAGAGTAACCATTAAGAAAGCTACACAAAGAGAATAAAAAGCATTGTAGATGAGTCAAAACAAGGTTCTAAATGAATGTTTAAATAACAGGAAGGAAAAAACAGAAAGGAAAATCAGAAAAGATAAATGGAAGACAAAAATGGAAGACTTCAGATGTCAATAATATTACATTTAATGTAAATAGTCTACATACACCAACTAAGACAGAAATGGACAATAATTGATTAAAAAATGACCAACCATATACATTGTATAAGAAACTCATACCATGTTCATGGATTGAAAGATTTAACATATTAAAGATGTCAGTTCTCAAATTGAGGTTTAATGCAATTCTTATACAAGTTTAATATGATTCTTATCAAAATTACAAAATTTGGTTTTGCCTATTTATCTTTCCAGCTCAATCCATTTTTTCTTTACATATTTTGCAGCTCTGTTTTTTTTTTTTTTGGTGTGTGTGTATATACTTTGCTATGTCTTACTTGGTGGATTGACTCTTTTGTAATTATAGATATCAATGGACTTACCCTAAAATTTATAAGGAAATAAAAAAAACTTAAATAACTAAAATAATTTTGAAAAAGAATAATAAAGTGGGAAGAGCCAGTCTACTTGATTTCAAGACTTACTATGTACCTTCGGTAATTAAGACTGTGTAGTATTAGTGAAGGAATAGTCACATAGACAAATGGAACAGATTCAAGAACTGAGAAGTAGCCCCACACAAATATGCTCAAATGAGTTTTAGCAAAGGTGCGAAAGTAATTCAATGGTGGAAGGATATCCTTTTCAGCAACTGATGCTGGAGTAATTGAACATCCATAGACTAAAAGGTGAACTTCAACCCAATTCCCACACTTTATACAAAAATTATCTCACAGTTAATCACAGACCTAAAAGTAAAATTTTAAATAATAAAACTCCTAGAAAAAAATAGGAGAAAATCTTTGATATCTAAGGCTAGGCAAAATGTTCTTAGACTTGACATTAAAAGCACAATTCAGAAAAGGAAAAAAACAATAATTTAAACCTCATTAAAATTTAAACCTTTACTTTGCAAACGGCCCTGTTAGGAATAATAAACTAAAAATGGGAGAAAATATTTGAAAACTACATTTTAATCAAAGTACTAATATCTAGGATATGTAAAATTGTTCAAAATTCAACCATTAAAAAATTCAATTAGAAAATATGCAAAGGCATGAGTAGAAATCTTACCAAAGAGGATATACAGATGGCAAATAAACATATGAAAGATATTCAACATCTTTAGCCTTCAGGTAAACACACATTAAAATTACAAAAGCTACTGAGGATGTGGAGAAACCGGAACACTTACACATTGCTGATGGTAATGTAAAACAGTGTAGTTACACTGGAAAATAGTTTATCAAATGAAATAAAAAATGAAACGTGCAGCCAACATGTGACCCAGCAATTGTATTCTTGGCCATTTATGCCAAAAATGAAACTTGCGTTCACACAAAACTTTGTACCTGGATGTTCACAGCAGCTTTATTCATAATCATGCCAAACTGGAAACAACCCAGATGTCTTTCACTCAGTGAATGGTTAAACTAACTGTGCTATGTCCATACCACAGAATACTACTTGCAGTAAGAAAGAACAAACTATTTACATGTACAACACCTTGGATGAATCTCTAGAGAATGATGCTGGGGAAAAAGCTCATCCGAAGGACTGTACCTTATAGAACTCTACTTATAAAGAATTATTAAAATGATAAAATTATAGAAATAGACAATAAATGAAGTTCCCAGAGGTGAGAGGGAGGCCCAGATGGAAGCAGATGTGACTATACAAGGTATCGAAATAGATTATTTGGTGATGAAATTGTTCTGTATCTTGAGTGCACATTGTCAATATCATGATTGTGGCAATGCACTGTTATTTTGAAAGAAATTATCATTGGGTAATCTGGATAAAGAGTACATGGGACCTCTCTGTATTATATCTTAGACCTACAAGTAAGTCTAGAATTGTCTAAAAATTAAAAGTTAAATTTAAAAAGAGTTAATTATTATAAATAATGAATTGATTTTAATATAAATTTTGTAACACTCTGGGAAGAATTTACTTTGGAGCTATTTGTCTCTTATTCACCTTACTCCTAGTCATAAATGAGTGTTTTTCCATTTGAAAGTTTCTGGTTTTTATTTTTAGAGTTAATTAATTTACCCATTTATCAAGCATCATCTCTTAATTCAGTACTGAATTAAGCAATTTTAATTAGTAAAAGAAAAATTATAAAACTTAGCAGTGTTTCAACCTATGAGATTCTGAAAATTGATTACAATTAGAGTTTTAGATTTTTCTTCCCCAAATTATATGAATTTCAGATCCTAGTGTTTGTTATCTTTATATTTTATTTTTAAAGATGATAAACACAGTTTTGCTTTACTTGTATTCCACTTGGAGAAAAAACATCTGGTATCACCAAGGAGCAGAGGAAACATGGAAAAACAGCAAGTTATGACAAACATAGGAGGTAGCATTACATAAAATAAATTTCACCTAAATTCATCTTACTAAGCAAATGAATTAACCTATGAGAAGCTATTTCTACACCTATAAAGTTGGTGTTATAGTATCTATTGTACTGGGTTGGGAGGAAGGCTTCCTAACTTGTGAAGTGTCCTGCAAATGTAAGTGAAGTCTTATATGGTGCAGGCAGGACAAGAGTAACTGAAAAAGTCTTTCATACAAAATGGATTATGGGTAGTGTGACATTTATTTAAATTTTAGAAGACACATAAAGAGGCATCCTTAGGTAAATTAGTAAGATATTTGAGATCATGTTGAGGTTTTCAACTATGAAAATACTGGAGGAAGTACGGAGCTGATAGGCCTTGTATGGGAGGGATTTTCACTTGCTTCTGACTTTGCACTTATTAATATTTTAAATTATGTTATTCAGGTTACATTTTAAAATATAACTGGTAAAAATAAATATTTCTGAGATATTTATAATTCACTTGTATTTCCCCATGCCCTTTAATCCACATACCTTTTGGGGCTTTAGTTATGTTTATTGATTTATAAAATATTTTTACATATTGATCCTTTGTCATGTCTTTTACTCATTTTTAAATGATTTGTTTTAAATGTTCAACTATTATTATTAAGGGCTCAGGAATTCTTAATCTTTAGGTACATTTTTATTTTTTCTTTGCTAATTTTTTATATCTTTAAAATTTCCTGTTTATGTAATAAAAAATATATTTGCGTCTATTCTTTCTAGTTTTCTAATTTTTTTACATTTGTTGCTTTAATCTATCTGTTATGTATTTGATTTTATAGTGTGAGGAGAATATCTGCAACATTTTGACTTTCAAATGTTTGTTTTGTCTCTAATTTTCACTTTAAGTATTGTCAGTTCTTGATCAATAATCACTGAGATCAGCATAAATTTATAAATATTAATTTCATTCAGTAACTTCAACTGTTGCTACCACCAAAACTTTTATCAATATACTTGAGTAGAAATCAAATGAATTGATATACAATAGTTCCTCGTTTATCCTTGGAGAATACATTCCAGGACCTCCAGTGGATGACTGAAACTGTGGCTAGTACTAAACCCTATACGTACTATGTTTTTTCCTACACATACATACCTGTGATGAAGTTTGATTCATAAATTAGTCACAGTAAGAGGTTAACAATAACTAATAATAAACTAGAGTAATTATAACAATATACTGTAATTAAAGTTATGTGAATATGATCTCTCTCTCTCCCAAAATATGTTATTGTACTGACACGGATTTCAGTCTGCTGTTAACTGTAGGTAATGGAACCGCAGCTAAGAGGAGATCTCTGTATTTACTATACTCTTCTGCCTGTGGAGTTGCAAGTGTAATCTTTCTTGACAGCAAGAGTGCTCATAGGCTGGGCACAGAGGCTCACGCCTGTAATCCTAACACTTTGGGAGGCTGAGGCAGGTGGACTGCTTGAGCTCAGGAGTTTGAGACCAGCCTGGGCAACATAGTGAGATCCTGTCTCTACAAAAAGTAAGAAGACAAAAAAATCAGTCAGGCATGGTGGCACACGCCTGCAGTCCCAGCTACTTAGGAGGCTGAGGTGAGAGGACTGCTTGAGCTCAGGAGGTCAAGGCTGCAGTGAGTTATGATTGCACCACTGCACTCCAGCCTGGGAGACAGAGTGAGATCCTGTCTCCAAAAAGAAAAAAAAAACCCAAAAACCAACAACAAAAAGAAACCAAAACAAACAAAAAAGAAAGTGCTCACCAAAAATTAGCTGCAGAAAGTTTGCAACACGTGGTCAGGGTGCTCTGGGAAAAGTTATTATTTTGGTGCAAAAGTAATTGCTGGTTTTGCCATTACTTTGAATGCCATTACTTTTAATGGCAAAACCAGCAATAACTTTTGCACCAACTAATATTCACAGCACTTAGGGAATTCAGTTGCATTTGCTGTGGTCATCATGAAGTGGAAAGAAAACTGAGATCTAAACATATTAGTGGCTAGCCCAAGTTTACCCAGCATGTTAGAGGCAGGACTTGTACTAGGAAAAACTACTGCTCCTTTCCTGCTCAGTTTTCTTTCCGTCGCACTGTAAATAACCTGAAAACCGCCCATTCATCACAGAGCATGGATTTGAAACCTAGACTGAGTAATGATGCCGATTCAGCTCTCTTTACTCCTGGGTTTTTCTTGTGTGGGAGAAAAATGGGATTAAAATATGGGCTTGTAAACTATTTGGTATTTGTAAAACAGAAATAGCCACAAATCTGTTTCTTTCTATTGTATTCTTCTTTTGTGCATTTAAAAAAATCTCTCCTCAAATTTTGTTTTTTCACAAGTTTAGCAATGAGAGCTAATACGCATGTAACACGACATCAGAGCAAGTGATATGAGATTACATTAGCATGTTCCGTTAGTTTATTATTTATTTTATTGACTGGCCTTAATGGAACTGGCATTCTTTATAAAAATGTTTCTATATCCCGTGAAGGGAATATTCAAATGATTTCATCATCGTTCAGGATCCTTCCTTAAGGTTCTAGAAATCAGTATTGGTGAAGCACTAGGTTATGTAGAAACAGTGTGAATTGGGGTGGTTAAAGGTTTAGTATGAATGTGATTAGAATGTTAAAAAGCTACTCAAATGCATTGAGATTAAGGGAAGAGACCCTGGCTACACGATCAAACAAGGCTCATATGTGCTTCTCTTTGAGGGTGGAGGTGACAGAAGTAAGAGTAAATATATAAATTATTTAGAACATATTAACATTAATTATTTCTAAAGATTGTATTCTGATGTTTCAAATTTATTTGGCTATAAAAGTTAGAATTATTAGTACTAGAAGTCATAAAATGGAAATCAAAAATTTCTGATGCCTCATCAGTAAGGCATGTTGTTTTTTCTTTTTTTTTCCCCCAGGTATTTCAGTATACTTGCTGGAGACACTGATGAATGGCCCGTCCTGGAGCCTTCACAGAGGCATGGGGTGCTTAGATACTAAAACAAAATTATTTGGCAGGGAAAAGATTGTTTATGCTTTTCTTTTATTGCTTACTAAAGGCCAACATTCTACTTTAGAGAGATCAATATTCCTGAATTGCAAACTTTTTAGAAGCCTAAAGGAAATGAATCCTTGTCGAGCTAAATGTTAACCCTCTCCCTATTACTGAAAACAGCAAAGCTGTTTTCCTGCTACAATTTTTTAATTATACTTTAAGTTCTATGGTACATGTGCACAATGTGCAGGTTTGTTACTTATGTATACATGTGCCATGTTGGTGGGCTGCATCTATTAACTGGTCATTTACATTAAGGATTTCTCCTAATGCCATCCCTCCCCCCTCCTCCCACCCTACAACAGGCCCCGGTGTGTGATGTTCCCCTTCCTGTGTCGATGTGTTCTCATTGTTCAGTTCCCACCTATGAGTGAGAACATGCAGTGTTTGGTTTCTGCCCTTGCGATAGTTTGCTCAGAATGATGGTTTCCAGCTTCATCCATGTCCCTACAAAGGACATGAACTCATCATTTTTTATGGCTGCATAGTATTCCATGGTGTATATGTGCCACATTTTCTTAATCCAGTCTATCATTGTTGGACATTTAATTTTGCTCTGCTTTAGAAGAAAGAAGAGGTAATCTCCGAGGAGCCCATGACTGGTTAGCTTTAGTTTTAATATTACAGCCAACCATTTCTTCCTCTCTTAAAAAATGTAATCTGGGTCTGTAGCTCCTGAAAACAATGTGAATATTTGTTAAGTGTTCAAAGGCCCCCCAGACCTCGCATGTGTCCCTTGTCTCACTGGGCCATGATTAAATTACCTCTTCTTTCTCAAGGCTTCAGCTTAAGCATTATCTCTAGGGCAACTTCCCTGGCTCCTTAGAGCAGTTGGCCTTCCTGGCACATGTCCTCAGAGCTGCCTATTTTTCTTCTGTCATAGCACTTCTTATTTTATTCTTAATGTTCACTTAATTTTGTCTTCTCTGCTACACTGTAAACTCCATGAAAACAAATACTACGTCTAATTTGCTTTTAAGAGCAGTGTTTTGTGCAGATTAAGGCACCTGATAAATATACATATTGCAGGACTGACTGAAAGTCATTAACCAGGCTTGCACTATGCCCAAGGCCCTTGGAGCCTAGGTGGGCATCACTACATTCACCTCAGACATGAAGACATGAAAATTCAGAGAGCTGGCACAATTTTCTCTGGGTTCGCAATGAGAGGTATTTCTGGTAGTTTCAAACCCAACCCTATACACTGCCCAAGTATATGCTCCTTTTGCTATAACATGCTTCTTTCAACATTTTCCTAAGCTCCAGATAGTTTTGGGAGGCAGGATATAGGATGCCCCTGGTTTCCCATTCCCTGTGGTCTTGTTGAAAACACTGCCCAGAGAAGTCTTCTTGCCCACTCTCAACTAAAATTATGTCAACAGGCGGTAGACTGAAGGCGGCACTCTCATCCTCTGGCTAACTCATAACTTTCTCTGATTGTTGCAGTGGACAACCAGAGAAAACTTTCTGGGTTCTGACTTGGGGTGGTAGCTTTACAGTTAGAATTTAAGACTGGGGCCTCATTTTGAAATGCTCTGGGATGCACTAGGACCACAGATTGCCAGCAACGCCACTATCCTGGAATATGTTAGAGTTTCAGAGTCCCAGGAGAAAAGTAAACCTGTCGCAGCCTACCTCACAGCCTCAAAGACATACCTAACCAGAGCAGTCTTCTACTTAGTTCAAATGAAGCTCTGTGGCCCCAGGGAGTCCAGGTCTGGTCCAGCACCTGTTTGGTATGGCCTGCAAGATAAGAATGGTTTTTACTGTTTTAGAATAATTGGAAAAATGTCAAAGGAAGTATAATATTTCATGACACAGGAGAGCTATACGAAATCCAAACTTCTGTGTTCATGAATAAGGTTTATTGGTACATAGCCACACTCATTTACTTACATATTTTCAGTGGTCAGTTTTGCACTAAACACTAGAGTTGAGTGGCTGCAACAGAGAATACCTACCCTGTAAAGCTTAAAATATTTACTGTGTTGAGCTTTAGAGAAAATGTTTGCCAATTCATACTGTAGTTGAACATTATAAAGAAGAAATTCATGCCGTTAATCAGATGGCGAGGTTGTCTCTCCCAGCAATCTTTCAATCTAAAAATCTTCAACTACTAAAAGTTAATAATCTGTGAAACTTTTTCATTGGTTCCAAAAATAGCAGCAACTACAAGTGCAAATTTCCACATCTCTCCAACCTTTAAAACCAGAGTTGGCCAAGCCAGAGTTTTTCTCATCTTGTGGGCTGGGGTCACATGTTCTGTTACCACGTCAGAGGATGTTACCATCACCGTGTCTGTGATCAGAACTTAGGCATAAGCTACTTCCACTCTCCAACATGCAAAACTACTCTTCCAAGTTGTGGGTAAAAGGAAGTGTTTGAAGACTAGGGTGCCAGCCAGTATGAACTGAGAGATGGGAAGAGTGATGCAAGCTGAGATTGAAGAGACACGTGTGATTCTGATCACGCTGAATCTTATGACCCATGTAAGAGTTTGCATTTTACACTAAAAACAATGTAGCAGTATTAAACTGCTTTAAGCAGGGAAGTGTTATAATATGGTCCTTATTTAATATATTTAGTTGGGCTGCTCGTGGAGGATATGTCAGAGAAGGATAGAATAAGGAGCCTAGTTGGAGGCATTGCAACAAACCAAATAAAAGATGCTAAGGTCTGATGTTAGAATGATGTTAGTGAAGAGTTAAGTGGGCTGATTTAAGATGCATTTTGGAGGACTATTGAAAGAACTTGGGAAAGGAGATGAATAATAGTGTTATTTACTGGGATGTAGAAGTTTGGAGGAAAGAGAATTGATAGAAAAATTCAGGAGCTCTATTTTCAGTATATAATGTTTGAAGGTCCTATTAGATCTCAAAATGGTATATTAAGTAAATAGTTTGAACTGGAAATAAACCAAGAGGAAACTGGAAAATAAACATGGTAAACTGTCTCTCTAGTTGCCATAGCAGGAGCTACTTACATCAAGAACCAAAAAGATTGGGCTTAAATGGCCTCACAGGGACAGGAGTTCAGGTATGTCATGTGATGCAAGGCTAATTGCTGAGTTGGAGATTTTATATGGAATTCGGACTTTTGAAATACCGTCAGTGAAAGAGTGAGTAGAAAATTTTACCTTTGCACAGTCAGATGACAAATGAATTTGTCTATCTCAGCCTGAGTTCTGGGTACAAAGGAAGAGTTATACCTGAGAATTTGTAACCACAGGCCTATCTTCATGTAGTTTGTGGTTTGAATACATATTGCCTACTTGATTTAGTAAACCATAAACCCATAAGCCCAATTAATATTTAAACATAGTTTATGGAGCCCGATCCAGAAATAGTGTAATATCTGTCATCAGACTAATCCTCTCGAACATAACAATTATAAACTCTGAATGAAATACTTTTTAAAGCACAGCTATTAGAAGTCACTGAAGAATAAGCAAAATCAGGAGGAAACTGATTGAACCTGGAGGAAATTTGACCCTGGAAAGAAAAAAAAATTCACTGAGAGCTACATTCACACCATTTTTCTCCTAAAAACAATCCCTAGTCCACATATTGCGGTGATAGCTAGAATTCAAGCAGAAAAAACAGTACTGTTTTATTAGGATAAGATGTGAAAATATGGAGTTCAGGGTTGTCAAAGAGACTGGAAATGGAGGAAAAAAATCTTGAAAGGAGGGAGATACAGAGGAAAGAGCACACAAATCAAATATCTACTACCCTCATATGCTTGGCTTGCCCATGAGCTGTGCAAGAGAATACCAGGAGGATGGAAGAACGCAAAAACATTAAGGCTGAAAAATCTAAGCAGAGTTTTAACTGAGTAAAAACAGAGTTGGATGTTTGAATCTTGTCAAGTTAAAAGAACTTGGCCTTTCCATGGAAATCCAAGAGAGACCATAACTTAGGAAAAACTGTTATGTCCCAACAATAAAGATGAGTTCTAAGATGAAAAGAAAACCTGGACATTTGGTATGATAACAAACATGTAGCCTCCACATGTGCAGGGTGATGAGTAAGTAATTAAATTACATTCAAGAACAAAAGTAAACACTCTTCAGAATAGAATAACAAAGTCAAGAATCTCTCTGTAGTGTCAACCACAATGCCCAGTATACAACATAAAATTACTGCACATGGGAAAAGTTAAGTAAAAGATGACAGAATCAAGAGGAAAAGCAGTCACTAGGCACAGACTATAAAACCTCCCCAATGTTAGAATTAATAGATAACAAATTTTAAAAAATTTAAAGCAAAAAAGTTTTAAAGCAAAAAATTTAAAATACAAATTGTAAAATCAATGTGAACTTACAGTAAAAGATAGTCACAGCAAGTGAGTAGGTATGGTATCCTGGTAAAGAAATGGAAAATATACAAAAAGCCAAATGAAAATAAAATGAAAAAAGTGATTTAAATTGAAAATGAGATGAATTGGACTTAATAGCAAATTAGAGAAGGCAAAAAAAATTCAGTCAATTTGAAGAATTATCAACAGAAATCATCTGATTTGAAGAGAAAAAAAGGATTTAAAAACACAGACTCAGTGACTTGTGGGGCAATTTCGGACAATATGGAATATTCTAACATGTGTAATTGAACTTCCCAAAGGCAGAGAGGGAGATAATGGAGAATAAAATTAATTGAAGAAATAATAGTCCCCAACTTACCAAGTTGTGTAACCCCCCATTACTTCATAGATTCAGGAAACACATAGAACTCCAAACTTGATAAGTGAAGAAGCAAACAAACTAACCACACCACATCTCCACATAACATGGCCAAAATGCTAAACCCAAAATTAAAAAAATCTTGAAAGTAAACATACCATATAGTGAACAAGATACTGAGTGTCTCTGAAAGGAAAAGAAAATCAAAAATCTAAAAGAAACCCTCAAAAATCTATATCCAACAAACTTCTTCAGTAAGAAGATGAAATGAGTTTTCAGATAAATGAAAGGTGAGAGAATGAATCACCATCAGACTTCAACTTAAAGAGATGGTAAAAGAAGTTCTTCAGGTTGTAGGAAAATGATGCCAGACAGAAATCTGGTTATACAAGAAGGAATAAAGAGCAGCTGCACGACAAATATTTGGACAAATATGTATTAGAACAAATATGTGAAAATGTTCTAAATTGATTGTGGTGATGGTTTTGCGACTCTGAATACACTAAAAATTCTTAAATGTATGCTTTAAATGGGGAAATAGTATGGTGCATAAATTATATCTCAATAAAACTGTTTTCTAAAATTAACTTCAACTTTTATTGTATTTCAGGAGGTACATGTGCAGGTTGATACCTGGGTATATTGTATGATGCTGAGGTTTGGGGTATGGTGGATTCCATAACCCAGATACTGAGCATAGCACCCAATAGTTAGTTTTTCAGCCCTTGCCTTCTTCTCTCCTTCCTGCTTCTAGTAGTCCTCAGTGTCTACTATTGCCATCTTTATGTCCATGAATACTCATTGCTTAGTTCCCACTTATAAGTGAGACATGTGGTATTTGTTTTTCTGTTCTTGTGTTAATTCACGTAGGATAATGGCCTCCAGCTGCATCCAAGTTGCTGCAAAGAACATGATGTTGTTCTTTTTTATGGCTGCATAGTATTCCATGGTGTGTATGTACCACATGTTATTTATCCAATCCACTGTTGATGGGCACTTAGGTTTATTTCATGTCTTTGCTTTTGACTAGTGCTGTGATGAACATACAAGTACATGTGTCTTTTTGGTAAAATGATTTATTTTCCTTTGCGTATATACCCAGTAATGGGATTGCTGAGTCAAATGGTAGTTCCGTTTTAAGTTCTTTGACAAATCTCCAAACTACTTTCCAGAGTGGCTGGCCTAATTTACATTCTCACCAACAGTGTATAAACATTTCCTTTTTCTCTGAAGTCTTGTCAGCATCTGTTATTTTTTGACTTTTTAATAAAACTGACTGGTGTGAAGTGGTATCTCATTGTGGTTTTGATTTGCATTTCTCTGATGATTAGTGATGTTGAGCATTTTTATATATTTGTCAACCCCTTGGATGTCTTCCTTTGAGAAGTGGTTGTTCATGTCTTCTGACAATTTATTTATTTATTTACTTATTTTTTGGAGATGGAGTCTTGCTCTGTCACCAGGTTGCAGTGCAGTGGCATAATCTCGGCTCACTGCAACCTCTGCCTCCTGGGTTGAAGCAATTATCCTGCCTCAGTCTCCCCTTTTGCCCATTTTTAACAGGATTATTTGGTTTTTGCTTGTTCAGTTGTATAAGTTCCTTTATAGATTATGGATATTAGCCCTTTCTTGGATGAATAGTTTGTGAATATTTTCTCTCATTCTATAGGTTGTCTGTTTACTCTGTTGATAAGAGCAGTTTAATAAGGTTCCACTTGTCAATTTTTGTTTTTGTTGCAATTGCTTTTGAGGACTTACTCATAAATTTTTTGCTAAGGCTGATGTCCAGAATGGTATTTCCTAAAGTTTCTTCTAGGATTTTTAAAGTTTGAGGCCTTACCTTTAAGTCTTTAATCCATCTTGAGTTAATTTTTATATGTAGTGATAGGTAGGAGTCCATTTCATTCTTCTGCATATGGCTTGCCAGCTATCCAAGCATCATTTATTGAATACGGATTTCTGTCCCCATTGTTCTTTTTTGTTGACTTTATCAAAGATCAGATGGCTGTAGATGTGTGGCTTTGTTTCTGTGTTCTTTATTCCTTTCCATTTTTCTATGTACCTGTTTTTGTACCAGTACCATGCTATTTTGGTTACTGTAGCCTTACAGCACAGTTTAAAGTCTGGTAATATGATGCCTCCAGCTTTGCCCTTTTTGCTTAAGATTGCTTTGGCTACTCAGGCTCATTTTGGTTCCACATGAATTAGAGAATAATTTTTTCTAAAATTATGTTGATAGCTTGATAGGAATAGCATTGGATCTATAGATTGCCATAGGCAGTATGGTTACTTTAATGATATTGATTCTTCCAATCCATGAGATGGAATTCTTTTTGTGTTATCTAAGGTTTATTTCAGCAATATTTTGTAGTTCTCCTTGGAGAGATCTTTTACCATCTTGGTTAGAAGTATTCCTAGTTTTTCTGTGGCAAGTGTAAATAGGATTGCATTCTTGATTTGGCTCTTAGCTTGAATATTATTAATGTATAAAAATGCTATTGATTTTTGTACATTGATTTTGTATCCTGAAACTTTACTAAAGTTATTTGTCAGTTCCAGGAGCATTTTGGTGGAGTCTTTGGGGTTATCTAGGTATAAAATCATATTGTCAGTGAAGAGAGATCATTTCTTTTTTTCCTATTAGGATGCCTTTTATTTCTTTTTCTTGTCTGATTGCTCTGGCTAGGACTGCCAGTATTATATTGAGTAGGAGTGGTGGGAGTGGGCATTCTTGTCTTGTTCTAGTTCTTAAAAGGAATGCTTCCAGTTTTTGTCCATTCAGTATGATGTGGCTGTGGGTTTGTCATAGATGGCTCTTGTTATTTTGATGTGTATTTCTTAAACGTCTGGTTTCTGGAGATTTTTTTTTTTATCATGAAGGAATGTTGGATTTTATCAAAAGCTTTTTCTATGTATATTGAGATGATCCTATGTTTTTTGTTTTTAATTTTGTTTATGTGGTGAATCACATTTCTTGATTTGAATATGTTGAACTAGCCTTGCATCTCAGGAATGAAGCCTATTTTGTCATGGTGAATTAATATTTTGATGTGCTGCTGGATTTGGTTTGCTAGTATCTTGTTGACGATTTTTACATCTATGTTCATCAGGAATATTGGCCTGTAGTTTTCTTTTTTCGTTGTGTCTTTGCTGGGTTTTAGTATAAGGGTGATGTTGGCTTCATAGAATAAGTTAGGGAGGTGTCCTACTTCTCAGTTTTTTGGTATAGTTTCAGTAGGATTTGTGCCAGCTCTTCTTTGTACATCTGGTAGAATTTGACCATGAATCCATCTGACATGGGGCTTTTGTGGGGGCTAGTAGGCTTTATTACTGATTCAATTTTGAAACTCTCTATTGGTCTGTTTAGTGTTTCAATTTCTTACTGATTAAGCCTTGGGAAATTGTATGTTTCCAAGAATTTGTTCATTTCCTCCAGATTTTCTAGTGTGTTTGCATAGAGGTGTCCATGATAGTCTCTGAGGGTATTTTGTGCTTCTGTGAGATTAGGTCTAATGTCACATTTTCCATTTCTGATGATTCATTTCATTTCTGATTTTCTTTGTAAATATAGGGTGGTCTATCAATCGTGTTTACCATTTCAAAGAAACAACTTTTGGTTTTGTCAATCCTTTGTTTGCATTTTTAGGTATCAATTTTATTCAGTTCTGCTCTGATTTTAGTTATTTCTTTTCTTCTGCTAGCTGTGGAGTTACTTTGTTCTTGTTTTTTTAGTTACTCTAAGTGTGATGCTAGATTGATAGTTTGAAATCTTTTTAACTTTTTGAGGTAAGCCTTCAGCACGGTAAACTTTCCTCTTGTCTTTCAGGAGAAACTGCAACTGTAGCAGCATTCCTTCCCCCCAGGAATGTGACAAAGATGAGCACCATTCCAACACCTGTTGCTGAGGCACTTTCCAGGGGTCTAGCTGTGGAGGCCCCTACTCTTCTCTAGAGCAGGCACTTCAATCTTCAGGCCAAAACTAAAATGTCTGCATGACCACACTGCCAGGTTGCCCAAGATTGGCTGACTTTGTATGCATCCTGATTAAAAATGGCATCTTGCTCTCTGGTCTGGGAAAATGCTGTGGCTTTTCCCTGTGACTTTTCTTCACAGCGTCTCCAAACTTCTCCCCAAGTTAGTTCCAGGGCTTAGGAGAAAAAAAGTGCTCTCCCTCGGCCTGGGCTGCTCAGATCCCCAGTGGAAAGGTGAATCACAGAGGGAGCTTCTCTGCCTTTCTCACGCACTGGGAATTCACTCACTTTTATCTGCTGGATGCTTGTATGGGGGCTGTTGGGTTGCATTTTCCTTCCTGGAATCTGGGATGTCCTTCATGATTCTGGTGGAATCCTGTTTACCTTCTTGAATTAAAGCTCACAGAATTGATCTTCATGCTTTTCCAAATGGCTGAGGCATGGTAAAAACCTCTCTGATCCACCATCTTTGAAAATAAGACTGTTTAAAAAGAAATCCTTGCTTTTCTTTGTCTTAACAGATGATTGAAAATTTATTTAAAAATATAATGCCATAATTTTGAGTTTATAACAGGTACAAATATTTAAAAAATGACAAAATGGCAGGAGGATAGATAAATATCTGACAAGGTAGGTAAATAGAATTTTACTGTTGCAAGATTTTAAAATTTTATATTAAATAGTATACTGTGAGCTCTAAGGAGACTATGATAAGTTAGAGATGCATATTGTAATCTTTTAAGTACCACTAAAATAGTAAAAAATTCTATTTAAAATCAGAGGAAAGAACATAGAATAATTTAAAAATCATACCAAAATAATTCATGGTAGGAGTAACTAAAGAACAAAAAGAAATGAGAAAGCATAAAAATGTAAAATGGTAGTCTAGAGCCCAGTCATATTAATATTGACATTATGAACTCCTGAATAAATACTTCTATTAAAAGGTACATATTATGAGACTGGTTAAGAAAGCAAGGCCCGCCGGGCGCGGTGGCTCACGCCTGTAATCCCAGCACTTTGGGAGGCCGAGGTGGGCGGATCACGAGGTCAGGAGATCGAGACCATCCCGGCTAAAACGGTGAAACCCCGTCTCTACTAAAAATACAAAAAATTAGCCGGGCGTGGTGGCGGGCGCCTGTAGTCCCAGCTACTTGGGAGGCTGAGGCAGGAGAATGGCATGAACCCGGGAGGCGGAGCTTGCAGTGAGCCGAGATCCCGCCACTGCACTCCAGCCTGGGCGACAGAGCGAGACTCCGTCTCAAAAAAAAAAAAAAAAAAAAAGAAAGCAAGGTCCAACTTTATGTTACTTCTAAAGTAGTTTGATTTTACAGACAGGGAGAAAATTTAAAAATGGAAAAACATATATCCTGCAACTTGTAGATATAAGAAAAACAGTGGAAGTATATTAATATTATACAAAGTATATGTATATTTCAAACAGTATAAATATAAATGCCATACCAAGAGTATTTCAAACTAAGAATTATTACCAAGATAAAGAATAACATTTTATGATGATAAAAGGAAAAATACATAAAGAAGCTATAACAATCCTAAACATGTATATGCCTAATAATAAAGCTTAAAAATTCATGAGGCAAAAATAGACATACCTAAAGGGAGAAATATACAAATGCAAAACTATGGTGAGAGATTTTAACAATGCTTTCCTGGTAATTAAAATAACTATTAAACAAAATAACAATAACGGCATAAACTGATTTGACCTAATTGATAGTCATAGAACATTAGATCGAACAACTTCTTAATACACATTTGGTGCAAAAGAACACTCAACAAGACAGAACATGTGCTATGCCATAAAATAAATGTCAATACATTTCATAAAACTAAAATTTTATAAAGTATATTTTCTGACGACAATGCCTTTAAATTAAATATTACTATAGTAAGAGCTCTAGAATAAAATTCTTCAATATTTGTCATCTAAATCACACACTCCTGAACAATCCATGGTTTAATAGTGAAAGCATAGGCTGGGTGCGATGGCTCACGCCTGTAATCCCAGCACTTTGGGAGGCCAAGGTGGGCAAATCACAAGGTCAAAAGATCGAGAGCATCCTGACCAACATGGTGAAACCCCATCTGTAGTAAAAATACAAGAATTAGCTGGGCGTGGTGGCACATGCCTGTAGTCCCAGATTCTCAGGAGGCTGAGGCAGGAGAATCACTTGAACCCGGGAGGCAGAGGTTGCAGTGAGCCGAGATCGCGCCACTGCGCTCCAGCCTGGTGACAGAGCAAGACTCCGCCCCTCCTCCCCAAAAAAGTGAAAGCATAAATGGAATTATGACATATTTCACAATAAAAATGAAAATGCAATATATAAAAGTTTGTATGAATGCAATTGAAGCAGTACTTAGAGAGAAACTAAAACAGTTCTGGACCAAGCAGACCTAATAGACATCTACAGAACTCTCCACCACAAATGAACAAAATATACATTCTTCTCAGCACCATATCGAACTTATTCTAAAATTGGCCACATAATGGGAAGTAAAACACTCCTCAGCAAATGCAAAAGAATGGAAATCATAACAAACAGTCTCTCAGACCACAGTGCAATCAAATTAGAATTTAAGATTAAGAAACTCGCTCAAAACCACACAACGACATGGAAACTGAACAAACTGCTCCTGAATGACTACTCGGTAAACAGTTTTAAATGCTTATATTAAAAAAGAAAATTGTTGTAAAGTCAATGATCTAATTAATTTTCTTTCATAAGAAAGTTGATAAAGATTAACAAATCAAAGCCAAAGTAAGTAACAAGAAGAAAATAATAAAATAAGAATAAAAATGAATGAAAAATCTTAAAAATAGGTAGATGATACTTCTGGGGTTCATGGAAGGAGCTAAATTAAAACTGTTTGACAGGTATGTATCTCCAGCCAGTCAAAGAAAATTCCTATAAGTAACGTGTCACTGAAAATACTTATAAGCCAAAATAATAGAATAATTGAGAAAATAATCTACCATGAACAAATTTTAGCTGACAATGAATACTTCATATTTGAGGCTTTCATATCATGTCTATCAAATAAAGATGTTAAAAGTGGTTAAGAATAAAGAAAAACATGAGATAAATGAAAGCTCATGAAAAGTATGAAATACATTTAATAGAAACAGAACATCCATAAATGAAAAATGTAGTTTTTGAGATTAAAACTCAGTTGATACATACAGTTGAAAGGACAGTGGAGAATTACACTATGGAACAAAGAAGATTTACCAGAATAATGCAAAAGATTTCCAAACATTATAATTATATAACTGAGATAAAAAGACAAGGAAAATAGAATAAGAAGGTCCAGAATAAATCATATAGAAGTATGTTTATTGCGGCACTATTCACAATAGCAAAGACCTGGAACCAACCCAAACGTCCAACAATGATAGACTGGATTAAGAAAATGCGACACATATACACCATGGAATACTATGCAGCCATAAAAAAGGATGAGTTCATGTCCTTTGTAGGGACATGGATGAAGCTGGAAACCATCATTCTCAGCAAACCATCGCAAGAACAAAAAAACCAAACACCACATGTTCTCACTCATAGGTGGGAATTGAACAGCAAGAACACTTGGACACAGGAAGGGGAACATTACACACTGGGGCCTGTTGTGGGGAGAGGGAAGGGGGGAGGGAAAGCATTAGGAGATACACCTAATGTAAATGACCAGTTAATGGGTGCAGCCCACCAACATGGCACATGTATACATATGTAACAAACCTGCATGTTGTGCACATGTACCATAGAACTTAAAGTATAATAAAGAAAAGAAAAATAGTAAAAAAAAATAAATAAATAAAGTAAAAAAATTGTCTTGCATAGAGAGAGAGAAGGGTGGAAAGGCAATACTTAATAAAAAGTACAGTACTTTTCCAGAATCAAAGGTATGAATTCTTCCATACAGGAGCCTGAAACTTAAGCATGATTTTTAAAATTTCATCTAGGAATATAAAACTGAAGCGAGAATAGCAAAGATAAAGAAAAATCTTAAAAATGACTCAAAAGGAAGACAGATTCCTAAAAGGAAATAACAGACTGATAGAAGACTTTTTGAAAACGATAGAAATAGAAATCCAAGTTTTCAGAGAAAATAACTCCAAACTATAATTCTATATATCAAAATAATATTTTAAGACTAAGGATTAAATAAGGACATTTTCAGACAAAAAGTGGAAATAATTAACCAGTTGTAGACCTTCACTGAAAGAACTATTTAAAGGACTTAGTCCAGAAAAAGAAATTTAATAAAGAAGAAAAGACTCAGATGAAATAATAAATGATGATTGAAGAAGCTGTTACTCATGTGGGTACATTTAAATATGTATAGACTATATTTTTTGATAGGTTATTTGAAAAAAATTTTTGTAAGAACATACAAGAAACAATTTACTTTTGAGAAATAATTTTCCAATAAAAAATGGGAGAAAGACTTTTAATTTTCTTTGTTATGAGTCTACAAAAAAGTAAACAAATTTTGACATTAGAGAACTCATTTGGATTTATTTTCTTAGAAATTTGAATTTTCATCCTAGATAGACAAAAAACTCTTTTAGATGGAAGAATAAAAAATTAGTGACCTTGAAGGTAGGTAATAAAAATTATATAATTTGTAAAAACAATGTCAAAAATTGAAGAAAAATGAACAAACCTCAGAGATTTGTGGAACAATACAAAGAGCTCCAATATATATGAAACTGGAACTTTAGAGGGAGAGAAGAAAGAAAATGGAGGATAAAACACTTGACAATGCTGAAATTCCTAAACTTGTTGAACACCTTTAACTTAACAGATCCAAGAGATCAATCTTGAAGAAGGTGAATACAAAGAAACTAGACTACACATCATAATCAAATTTCCAAAAAAGTAAAAATGAAGAAAAAGTCATGAAAGCAGCCAAAAAATGACTTAGTGTATACAGATAAACAATGATAAGATTGGTGGACAACATTTCAACAGAAACAATGGAAGACAGGTGATGTTGGAATGTCACAAGAGACTGAAAGAAAAATAAAACTGTAACCAATAATTTTATATCCTTCAAAACTATCTTTCAAAATTGAAGTATTAAATTAAGCCGTTTTCAGATGAACAACAAAGAATTTCACTGCTAGCTGCCACTGCACTCCAGCCTGGCAACAGAGCAAGACTCCATCTGAAAAGAAAAAAAAATTTTTTTTTACTGCTAGCGGATTTGTACCTTAAAGTATACAAAGAAAGTCTTTCAGAATGAAGAAAAGTAACACCTGATAGTAACTCAATCCTGAACAAGGAAGTAAAAGCATTAGAAACGGCAAATATGTGAGTATATATGTGTGTATATATACATATTTCCCCTCAATTTGTATGAATTTCTATTGAAAAGTTTCAACATTTCATCAAAAGTAATTAAAAATTTAGCTTTAAGTAGGTTGTGATAAATTAAAGATGCATGTTTTAATTTCCAAAGCAACCTCTAAAAACAATTCAATGAAATGATATTAAAAGTGCCCACAACAAATACCCATGCTGACAGGATGTTTGACAGAAGCCCTTGATTGCCAACCAGTGATGACCACTCAATATTTTAAATTAGAAAACTGCTTGAGATGGCTGTCAGGTAAACTCTTTTTGAGAGACCACTATTAGCCTTTTATTGATCCCTGTTGGAAACTGTATCTATTACTAAATGACACAAATTATTTTGAAACCTGGAATACTCTGCATGTAATGGGTTATATAAGACAAATACTCCAATTGGGAGCTAACTGCACAAAGGGACTGCATCAAAAAGAAATGGTGTATTCAAGAATACGTCACAGGGGAATCCACTGAAGGAACCCATTGCAAGCACAAGCAAGTGGCAGCTATGTCTAGGAGCCCTACATCAATCTCCCTGATGACTTATTTAAATCCATATCTGAATGAGTATTTTTGGAGGATCCCCAAAAGTAGCACAGCTTACAGAATGTAGTTCAAATGTGGAGGGCCCACAGTCACCTCAAAGTTGGCTGCATTGTAACCTGCTTATGGCTAGACAATTATTGAAGGGAAAGATTCATTCACTCAGTGGACAGAATTCAGAGTGGTGTTCATAAATATATTAACAAAACTAAGTGATATTAACAAAAGTGAGGTATGGATTGATAATGACTCTTGGGCCACAGCCAGTAAATTGATGATATGATCTGGAATATGGGTCTTAGATGACTAGAAATTAAAAGAAATCATAGTAAGGGGTACAATGTTATGGAAAAGCATTTTAGGCTTCCTAAGCCAGCTTCCAACATGGCCCCAAATAATTCCTACCTCTTGGTATTTACAACCTTGTGTGGTTCCCTCCCTTGTCATATTAAGGATGGTCTATGTGACCAATAGAGATAACTTACTCCTTTGGTCTCCCTTGTGTCAGTCATTCCAGAAAAAGCCAGCTGAAGTGTGATAAGCGGCCTTATTTAAAGGCCAGCATGGTGAGAAAAAACAGCCATTCAAGTGACATGAAAAGCAGATCTACCAGCCACCACACTCAAGCCTTCAGATGACTGCAGCCCTAACAGACAGCTTGATCACCACTCCATGAAAGCTTCTAAGGCACAACCACCCAACTAAGTTGCTACTGAATTTCTTATCCTCAGAAATTATGTGAGATAATAAGTATTATTATCTTACATTGTTTGGGGGCATAATTTGTTCCACAGCAGTAGTTTAATACAGATATAAAAAGAAAAAATCAAAGTGTGTTATGTTGATACTCAACAGTAAAACTTTCTTTCACTTTTGGAAGGGCATTGGAGGCAATAAAACAATGTTCTAGTCCTCCCTGGAGGTGGCCTAGTATGTACACGAGGTTAGTGGTCATGGGGGCAGTCAAGCAATTTAAGAAAGGCAGATCCCCCTGACTACCTCTCAGGCTCAAAATGAGACTAACTTTTATTATTTTTTTCCTATAGGTTAACTATAGACTAAAGGATTTTATGTACTGAGAGGATACGGGTAGGCAGTGGACTACACTGGCCTTTGCCTGTGGCCCCAGAAGGATAGGGATGGGTTTTGAATGTGCTGAACACTATTTTAGAGTTGGATTTAGTAATGGGAGCAAATACTTTGAATATCATCAGATGATTAGAAAAATAAATTTTATTTCAATTTAGATCCTCTACTGATGTATCTTCATATCGAGGACCCTGTTTCACCGAGGATACAGTGCAATGATAGGCTAAAATGCCACATACAATAGATGTATGTATCATACCATCCACAGAGCAGTGGATTATTAGAAAACTAGCATGGACGATCAAAACACCTGCTTACTAAATTGGGGAAATGTGTTGAAATGAAGGATTAAAGGAATGGCTTGTATGAATAAATGAATATGTGTCACATCTTCCCATGTGTGACATGAAAGATCATCGGACCAGTTGAAAGATATATTGGAAATGAAAGAAGAGGGAAGGGAGAAGATATTGTCACTTATTTAATCATTTTTACTCCTCATTTTTTATGGATACATAATATTTCATTTATTTATGGGATACATGTCAGTATTTGCTACACACATAGAATGTGTATTGCTCAAGTCAGGGCACTTGGGGTATCCATCATCACCTTAAGCACTTAACCATTTCTTTGTGTTGTGGACAGTTCAAGTCTTCCAGCTACTTTGAAATATACAATGCATTGTTGCTAACTATATTTACCCTACTCTGCTATTGAACATTAGAACTTATTCTTCCTATCTAACTGTACATTTGTATCCATCAACAAATCTCTCTTCATCCCCACCTTCCACCCATACACCCTCCCTGGTTTCTGGTATCTATCATTCCACTCTCTACCTCTGTGAGATCAACTTTTTTAGCTCCCACATATGAGTGAAAACATGTGATGTGTGTTTTTTTGTGCCTTGTTATTTTACTTAACATAATGACCTCCAGTTACATCCATGTTGCTGCAAGTGACATGATTTCATTCCTTTTTGTGGCTGAGTGGTATTCCATTGTGTATATATTGTGAAAGGAAAATAAATCTTGGGGCTCCAAAATCACTAAGCTAAAGGGAAAAGTCAAGCTGGGAACTGCTTTAGGGCAAACCTGCCTCCCATTCTATTCAAAGTCATCCCTTTGCTCACTGGGATAAATGCCTATATGATTGCCTCCTTTGGAAAGGCTGATCAGAAACACAAAAGAATACAATTATTTGTCTTTGCCTACCTATGACCTGGAAGACACCTTCCCACTTTGAGTTGTTCCACTTTTCCAGACTAAGCCAATGTTCATCTTACACATATTGATTAATGTCTCACGTCTCCCTAAAATGAATGAAACCAAGCTGTGCTTGGACCACCTTGGGCACATGTCATTAGGACCTCCTGAGGCTGTGTCATGGGTGAGCATCCTTCACTTTGGCACAATACATTTCCTAAATTGAGAACTGCTTCAGATATTTGGGGTTCACAATATACACCACATTTTCTTTATCCATTCATCCTTTGATGGGCACTTATGTTGAGTCCATATCTTGCTACTGTGAATAGCGCTACAGTAAGCACGCAAGTGCAGGTATCTCTAATACACTGATTTCTTTTCCTTTGGATAAATACCCAGTAGTGGGATTGCTGGATCATATGATAGTTCTATTTTTAGTTTTTTCAGAAGTCCCTATCATATTTCCCATAGTGGCTACACTAATTTACATTATCACCAACAGTATATGTGTTCCCTTTTCTCTGCATCTATGCCAGCCTCTTTTATTTTTTGTCTTATCATAGCCATTCTAACAGGAGCGATATGATGATATCTCTTTGTAATTTTGATTTGCCTTTCCTGATGATTAATGATGTTGAGCATTTAAAAAAAAACCTGTTAGCCATTTGTGTATCTTCTTTTGAGAAATGTCTATTCATGTCTTTTGCCTACTGTTTAATGGGATTATTACTATTATTATTAATTATTTTACGTTGTTTGAGTTCTTGGTATATTCTAGATATGAGTTTCTTCTCATATGAACAGGTTGCAAATATTTTCTCCCATTCTACAGATTGTCTCTTCACTCTGTTGATTGTTGCCTTTGCTGTGTGGAAGGTTTTTATTTAATATGGTTTCATTTGCCTATTTTTGTTTTTGTTGTCTGTCCTTTTAAAATCTTAGCTATAAAATATTTGCCTAGACCAGTATATTGAAGTGTTTTCCCCTAGTAGTTTTATAGTTTCAGGTCTTATATTTAAGTCTTTAATTCATCTTGAGTTGATTTTTATGCATGGTCAGAGATAGAGGTTCAGCTTCATTCTTCTGCATATGGATATCAAATTTTCCTAGCACCATTTATTAAAGACAGTGTCCTTTCCCCAATCTGTGTTCTTGGCACCTATATTGAAAAGCAGTTGGCTATAAATACATGGATTTATTTCTGGATTCTCTGTTCCATTGGTCTATATGTCTATTTTTATACTAATGCCAAGCTGTTTTAGTTACTATAGCCTTCTACTATATTTTGAGGTCAGGTAATGTGATGCCTCCAGCTTTATTCTTTATTCTCAGGATTTCTTCAGCTATTCAGGCTGCATTTTGGTTCCATACAAATTTTAGGACTTTAAAAAAAATCTGTGAAAATGTCATTATTATTTTGATAGAGATTGTGTTGAATTTTTAGATTGCTTTGGGAAGTATGGACATTTTAATAATATTAATTATCATGATCCTTGAGCATGGGATGTCTTTCCATTTGTTTGTGTCCTCTTCAATTTCTTTCATCAGTATTTTGCAGTTTTCCTTATAGAGATTTTTCACTTCCTTGATTAAATTTATTCCTAGGTAATTTTTTATAGCTATTATAAATTGGGTTGCCTTCTTGATTTCTTTCTTATCTAGTTCATTATTGGTGTATAGAAAGGCTACTGATTTTATATGTTGATTTTGTATCCTGCAACTTTATTTAATTTATTTATCAGATTTAAGAGTTTCTTGATGGAACCTTTAGGTTTTTGTCGATATAAGATTCTATCATCAGCAAAGAGGGACAATTTGACTTCTTCTTTTCCAGTTTGAATGGCTTTTATTTCTTTCTCTTGCGTGACTGTTCTGGCTAGGACTGCAAGCACCATGTTGGATAAGAGTGGTAAGAGTGCGGATCCTTTTCTTGTTTCAGTTCTTAGAGAGATTGCTTTCAACTTTTACCCATTCACTACGATGTTAGCTGTGAGTCTGTCATATATGGCCTTTATTATGTTGAGATTCATTTCTTATATGCCTACTTTGTTGAGAGTTTTTATCATAAACAGATGTTGAATGTTGTCAAATGCTCCTGTGTCTATTGAGATGATTATATGCTTCTTGTCCTTCATTCTGTTGATGTGATGTATCACATATATTAATTTGTGTTACCTTGAGCCATCTTACATGCCTGGAATAAACCCCACTTGATTATCATGTATTATCTTTTTAATGTGCTCTTGGGTTTGGCTTGCTAGTTTTTTGTTGATGATTTTTGTGTCTACGTTCATCAGAGTTACTGGCCTGTCATATTTTTTTTGCATCCTTGTCTGTTTTTGGTATGTGAGTAATTCCATCCTTGCAGAATGAGTTATGGAAAGTCCCCTTCCCTTTAACTTTTTGGAATAGTTTGAGGACACTTGGTATTTGTTCTTTGAAAGTTTGGTAGAATTTGGCAATGATGCAATCTGGTCCTGCACTTTTCTTTCTCAGGAAAGTTTTTATTACTGTTTCTATTACATTATTTGTTATTGGTTTCTTCAGGTTCTCTATTTTTTCGTGATTCAATCTTGGTAGATTGTATGTACTGCAAAATTTATTCATTTTCTCCAGGTTTTTCAGTTTGTTACTGTATAGTTGTTCATAATAGTTTCTGATGATCTTTTATATTTCTGTGACATCAGTTGTAATGTCTCCTTTTTCATTTCTGATTTTTCTGTTTTAGCCTACTCTCAGTTTTTATTGGTTAGTCTACCAAGTGGTTTATCCATTTTTAAAAATCTTTTCAAAAACGAACTTCTCACTTTGTTGATCCTTTGTACTTTTAAAGTATCTATTTCACTTACTTCTGCTCTCAATTTTATTATTGCTTTTTTTCCTGCTAATTTTGAGTTTGGTTTGTTCTTGCTTTTCTAGTTCCTTGTGGTGCATCATTAAGCTGTTTATTTGAAAACTTTCCACTTTTTTAATGTAGGCTCTTATTGCTCTAACATTCTCTCTTTGCGCTGATTTTGTTGTATTCCAAAGGTTTCATATGTTGTATTTTGATTTTCATTTATTTTTAGACTTTTTATTCTCTCTTTAATTCCTTTCTTGACCCAATGTTCATTCAGGAGTATGTTCTTTAATTTCCATGTATTTGTACAGTTTCCATAGTTCCTCTTGTTACTAACTGCTAGTTTTATTCCCTTGTTGTCTGAGAAGATACTTGATATGACTTTGATTCTTTTAAATTTGTTGAGACTTTGTTTTGTTTTGTGTCTTAACATAAGGTCTATCTTGAAGAATGTTCCAGGTACTGAGGAGAGAAGTGTGTATTCTGTAGCTGTTCAATAAAATTTTTGCAAATGTCCATAAGGTCCATTTAGTTCTAATGTACAGTTTAAATTCAATATTTATTTGTTGATTTTTCTCTCTAGATGATGTCTAATGTTGAGAGTGAGGTGTTGAAGTGGGGACTATTATTGTATTGAAGTCTACCTCTTCCTTTAAGTTTAAAAGTATTTACTTTAAAAGTATGAGTGCTCCACAGTTGTACGTATATATGTTTAGAATAATAATGATAATAACTTCTTTGCCTCCTTCTACTATTTTTTACTTTAAGTATGTTTTATCTGATGTAATTGTAGCTATTCCTGCTCACTTTTGGTTTCCAATTGCATGAAATATCTTTTCCCACTTTTTCACTTTTGGTCTGTATGTGACTTTACAGGTGAGATGAGTTTCTTGTAGGCAGCATGTAGTTGGTTCACTTTTTAATCCAGACAGTCTATATCTTTTAAGTGGAAAGTTTAATCCATTTACATTCAAGGCTATTATTGATATGTGGGGACTTATTCCTGTCATTTTGTTAATTGATTTCTGGTTCTTTTCTTTTCTTTCTTTTCTTTCCTCTTTCTATTTCTTGTTGTTTATCATTGACTTAATTTTTGCATATGGTGATAGGTAGAGGTCCATTTCATTCTTCTGCTTATAGATAACCAGTTATTCCAACATCATTTATTGAATAGAAAGTCCTTTTCCAATTGCTTATTTTTGTAAACTTTGTTGAAGATGAGATAGTTGTGAATGTGTGGCTTTATTGCTGGATTCTCTATTCTGTTCTATTGGTCTATATGCCTGTTTTTGTACCAATACCATGCTGTTTTGATAACTATGGCCTTGTAGTAAAGTTCGGTAATGTGATGCATGTGGCTTTGTTCTTTTTGCTTAGCATTGCTTTGGCTATTTAGCCTGTTTTTTGCTTTCATATGAATTTTAGAATAGTGTTTTTAGTTCAGTGAAAAAATGATTTGGTAGTTTGATGGAAATACTGGTAGATAGCAATCCATAGATTGCTTTGGGCAGTATGGGCATTTTAGCAATATTGATTCTTCCAATCCATGAGCATAGAATGTTTTTCCATGTTTGTGTTTGTGTCATTGATGATTTATTTTAGCAGTATTTTATAGCTCTCCTTGTAGAGATTGTTAACCTTTGTTTGATGCATTCCTAGATATTTCATTTTTTGTTGCTATTGTAAATGGGACTGCATTCTTGATTTGACTCTCAGCTTGAACACTGTTGATGTATAGACATGCTATTGAGTTTTGTATGTTGAATTTTGTATCCTGAAGCTTTATTTAAGTAATCTGTTAGTTCTAGAAGCACTTTGATGGAGTCTTTAGGGTTTTCCAAGTATCGAATTCTATTGTCAGTGAATAGAGGTAATTTCACACCTTATTTTCTTATTTGGATGCCTTTTTTTTTTCTTTTTCTTTCCTGGTTGCTCTGGATATGACTTACAGTACTTTGTTGAATAAGAGTGGTGAAAATGGGCATTCTCATCTTGTATCAGTTCTCAAGAGGAATGCTTTCTGTTTTTCTCATTCACTATGTTCTTGACTGTGAGTTTGTTATAGATAGCTCTTATTATTTTTGAGATATGGTCCTTTCATGTGTAGTTCCTTGAGGGTTTTTATCATGAAGAGATGTTGGATTTTATCAAAAGCTTTTTCTGTGTCTCTTGAGATGATCGTATGATTTTTGTTTTTAATTCTGTTTACGTGGTGAATCACATTTATTGCCTCAAGTGAGTTGAACCAATCCTGCATCTCAGGAATGAAACCTACTTGATCATGGTGAATTGTTGTGCTGTTGGATTTGGTTTGCTAGAATTTTCTTGAGGATTTTTTTATCTATGTTCATCAGGGATATTGGCCTACGGTTTTCTTTTTTTTATTGTGTGTTTGGCAGGCTTTGGTATGAGGGTGACGTTGGCTTCATAGAATGAATTAGAGAGGTGTTCCTACTCAATTTTTTTGGAGTAGTTTCAGTAGAATTGGTACCAGCTCTTTTTTGTACGAGTGGCAGAATCCTTTTGGTCCAGATTTTTATTTATTGGTTGGTATATTTTTGATTACAGATTCAATTTTGGAACTCTCTATTCGTCTGTTCAGGGTTTCATTTCTTCCAGATTCAATCTTGGGGGGTTGTGTATTTCCATGAATTTATTCATTTCCTTTAGATTTTCTGATTTGTGTGCTTAGAGGTGTTCATAATAGCCACTTAGGATCTTTTGTATTTCTTTGGGTTTGGTTGTAATGTCATCTTTTTCATTTCTGATTGTGCTCATTTGGATCTTCTCTCTTGTCTTTGCAAGTCTAGCTAGCCATTTATCTATCTTGTTTGTCCTTTCAAAAAACACACTTTTGATTTTGTTTATCTTTTGTATGGAATTTTGGGTCTCAATTTCATTCAGCTCTGCTCTGATTTTAGTTATTTATTTTCTTCTACTTGACTTGGGGTTAATTTGCTCTTGTTTTTTAAATTCCTCTAGGTATGATGTTAGATCGTTAATTTGAGATCTTTCTAACTTTTTGAGGTAGGCGTTTAGTGATGTAAACTTTCCTCTTTAACTACTTTTGCTGCATCCCAGATATTTTGGTATGTTGTGTCTCTGTTTTCATTTGTTTCAAATAATTTTTTACTTCTGCCTTCATTTCATTGTTTATCCAAAAGTTATTCATGAACAAGTTGTTTAATTTCCATATGATTGTGTGGTTTTGAGAGTTCTTATTGGTATTGATTTCTATTTTTATGCCACCCCAGGTATGAGATTATGGTGGGTATGATTTTGACTTTTTAAAATTTATTGAGACTTGCTTCATGGCCAAGCATGTGGTTGATCTTAGAGTATGTTCTATGTGCAGCTGAGAGGCATCTCTCTATATATATATATAAAATATATATATAAAATATATAAATATGATTATATGTTGTGTTTGATATTCTATAGATGCGTATTAGGCCCAGTTGCTCATGTGTCTAATTTAATTCCAGATTTGTTAGTTTTCTGCCTAAACGATCTGTTTAAAATCGTCACTGGGGTGCTGAAGTCTCCCACTATTACTGTGTGGCTTTCTTTGTCTTTTCATAGGTCTAGAAATACTTGTTTAATGAATGTGAGTGCTCCAATATTGGGTGCATATATATTTAGGGTAGTTAAGTGTTCTCATTGAATTGAACTCTTTGTGCCTTTTTTTGTACCTATTTATTGTTGTTGGTTTCATTTGTGTTTTATTTGATATAGGAATTGTAATCCCTGCTCTTTTTTGTTACCCATCTGCATAATAGATTTTTCTCCAGCTCTTAACTTTTGAGCCTATAGGTATCGTTATATGTGGAATGGGTCTCTAGAAGACAGCAGACAGTTGTGTGTTTTCTTGGTCCAACTTGCCACCCTGCACCTTTTAAGTAGGAGCATTTAGACTATTTTCATTTAAGGTTAATATTGGTGAGAGGTGACAACATGCTAGCAGCCCTCGCTGGCTCTCAGCGCTTCCTTGGCCTCGCGGCGTCTGCTTTGGCGGAGTTTGAGGAGTCCTTCAGCCTGCCGCTGCCTGTGGGACCCCTCTGGGACTGGACGAGGCCGGAGCCGGCTCCCTCTGCTTGCAGGCAGGTGCGGAGGGAGAGGCGCCGGAGAGAACCATGACTGCGCACAGCGTTTCCGAGCCAGCACGAGTTCTGGATGGGCGCGGGCTTGGTGGACCCCGCACTCGGAGAGGCCGGCTGGCGCTGCCCAGCCCGGACAATGAGGGGCTTAGCACCCGGGCCAGCAGCTGCAAAGGGTGCGTCGGATCCACCAACGCTGCTGGCCGGTCTGCACCACGCTTGCCACACTCGAATTCTCGCCGGGCCTCAACCACCTCCCCGTGGGACACGGCTGGGGACCTGCAGCCCACCATGCCCGAGCCACCCTCCCTGCGGTGGGCTCCCCTGCAGCCCAAGCCTTCCCAACAGGCGCCGCCCCCTGCTCCGAGGGCGCCAGGTGCCATCCATTGCCCAAGGACTGAAGAGTGCAGGTGCAGGACTGTCACGCAGGATTCACTAGGTGAAGCCAGGTAGGCTTCTGAGTGAGGTGGGGACTTGGAGAACATTTATGTCTCGCTAAAGGATTGTAAATGCACCAATCAGCACTCTGGGTCTAGCTCAAGGTTTGTAAATGCACCAATCGGCACCCTGTCAAAACGGACCAATCAGCTCTCTGTAAAATGGGCCAATCAGCTCTCTGTAAAATGGACCAATCAGCAGGATGTGGGTGGTGTCAGATGAGGGAATAAAAGCAGGCTGCCCCAGCTGTGTGTCGCAACCGGCTGCGGTGGGTTTGTGTGGTGTGGACGGTTAGTTCTTTTTGTTCTTCCCAATAATATTTGCTGCTGTTCATTGATTGGGTCCTGGCTGCCTTTATGAGCTGTAACACTCACTGTGAAGGTCTGCAGCTTCACTCCTGAAGCCCACGAGACCAGGAACCCACCAGAAGGAAAAAATTCGGGATATATCTGAACATCAGAGGGAGCAAACTCCGGACCCACCATCTTTAAGAACTGTAACACTCACTGTGAGGGTCTGCAGCGTGTTCTTGAAGTCCGGGAGACCAAGAACCCACCAATTCCGGACACAGTGGTAGGTGATGTTTTGATGATACTGTGAGATTGTTAATTGATTCCTTTGAGTTTCCACTGTATGGTTGCTTTATAGGGTCTGTGGGCTATGTTCTTAGGGTGTTTTTATGGTGGCAGATACTGTTCTTTCATGTCCATGTGAGAACTCTTCTAAGGATCTCTTGTAAGGCTGGTCTAAGTAGCAAATTCCCTCAGTTACTGTCTGTCTGGAAAAAGTTTTATTTCTCCTTTGCTTGTGAAGCTTCATTTGGTGGGATATGAAATTCTTGTTGGAAATTTCTTTTCCTTGAGAATGGTAAAAATAGGTCCCCCTATCTCTTTTGCCTTGTAAAGTTTGACCAGGTTATTTCAAAAGATCTGTCTTCAAGTTCTTCGTTTCTTTCTTCTGCTTCATCTATACTATTGATGAAGCTTTAAAATGTGTTTTGTATTTCATTTGAATGCACTCTTCAGTTCCAGAATTTGTTTTTTTATTCTTTTAAAAAATTTTTCATTCATATCTTGAATTTCTTTTTCCGATTCTTTCGTATTATTTTTAAGTATTCTCAAAAAAATGGGCAAAGGGCAGGGACATTCACTAGTCAAAAGAAGACATACATGTAGCGAACAATCATAAGAAAAAAAGCTCAACATCACTGATCATTAGATAAATACAAATCAAAGCCACAGTGAGAGACCATCTAACACCAACCAGAATGGCTGTTATTAAAAAGTCAAAAAGTAACAGATGCTGCCAAGGTTGTGGAGAAAAAGGAACATTTATACACTAGGAGCGAGTGTAGATTATTTCAGCCATTGTGGAAAACTGTGTGAAGTTATTAGTGGAGATTGTGGTGAAGTTTTGCTGAGGACTGAAACGCCATGTGAGCCAGCCATTTGGGCCATTGTTGTAGCAGTGAGCTGAGCATGCTTGTGCTGGGCCAGTGTACACAGTGTGGTGTGCACTGGCATTAGTGCGTCCAGATGGGTCAATTTTTGAGCCTACAAGTGGCTTACTTAGGTGCCAGGAGGAGTAGTGGTGGTTGAGGTGGGTGGGTTCTTGGACCACTGGGCAAAAGGTGTGGTGGGGCAGTGGCAGTAGCAACCATCTGGGTCTAGAGAAGTACATGCTAGTATTGCCGGTAGCTCCAATGGGCTAAGGTAGGGCAGTCTCCAGGCCAATAGGTGGCATGTGCATGTGATACTATCTGTAGTAGTGGTGACAGGGTGAGTTGGCCCCCGGGCCCCGGGGAGTAGTGCCTAGGTGCCAATGGTGTTGGACTGGGATGGGCGATACCAAGGACCCTGTACTGCATGCTTTACATGAGTAGGGGTTGAAACTGGGCTAGGTGGAATTATCCTCTTGCCTCCCCGCCTCCCCCTCACCCCCCGCGATGGGGCATACTGGTGCTGGCTGTGTGAGGCAGGGTGGGATTATCCCCAGGTCTCTGAAGAAATGCTTGGGTTAGGGGCAGCAACAGTTGCATAATGTCCCTACTACCTGTGAGGGTGGGGTTGGTTTCAGTGGTAGCCATATGCAGGCTGAGTAGGAACAGGTGCTTTGCTTGTGATTTAGTCCCAGTGGCATCAGCCCACACTTGGCTTGTATTTCTGCCCTGGCGGCAGCAGCCTGCACATCACTCGTGCTTCAGCCCTGGCAGCACAGTGATGGCAGCTGCAGGCAGGGGGACTTTGTCCAGACATGTGAAAATACATGGTGTTTCCACTTCTCAAATCTACAAGATTGTGTCTGGTGGCACATGATGCTTCAGCCCAAGTAGTAGCAGCAAACTGCAGTGTTAGTTGTAGGCAGGGGAAATCAGTGGGCCTCCAGGGATGTGGAGATGCAGGGGCTGTTGAGCCCTATGGCAGGGTACAGTTTATCATGGACCAGGCTCTCAATGACACTGTACTGTAGCTGCTTAGGGTTTGGGGGTGTGAAACCCAGTGTTACCTCTCTCTCTGGAGCAATGTCATTGTATAGTCTTCAGGAACCTCACTCTGTTAGTTTCATGGCCCACGAGGGCTGAGGAACTTTAGCATGGCTAGGATTGCAGGAGTACCCGATGGGAATGTGGACCACTGAGTATCTCTTTTCCCTTTTCCGCTTTGGGGAGTCTCTCCAGGCTCCCAGCCAATCCTGGTCGAGTAGACTCCGGATCCCTCTCCTTCATTTAGGTGTTTCCTGTCACTTCTCTCTTTGAATTCTAGTGTTCTCTCTTGGATTGTCTATTCGAAGTTTGATTACCTACTCAATATTTAAGTTCTTCTTTGTGGACGAGGTGCGAGATGTCTCTATGTAGCCATCTTGAAGCCCCCCCTAAAAAATTTTCTGTTTCTTCACTTGACCTCATAAAATGGGTCCCAGATTGCTTCTAGAATTTCTATTGCTAAACAAGACAAAATGGCAATGCCTTTGAATATAATTGGCTAAGTTCCAAAGGGCATAATCATTGTCAACTTTTCCTTTCTCATTTAAACATCTTTAGGCTCCTATCTGCTTAGCAGATGAGATAATCCTATATGCTTATATTTATCCAATCTTTCCCGGAGTCATTGGGAATGAATGAAAAGGAAAGTATAGGTTTGATTTATATTGCTACTAGCTTTATGGGCTAATCCTTTTGTTGTGCCTAATAGTTGTATATTGAGGAGGGGCATAGGTAAATTTAATAAGTGGAAATAAAGCAAATGATTACTGAGGGAAAGGAAATTAATATGTGCATAATGGAATATTGCTTTAGTGTCCATGAGACTAGTTCAGGATTAGAAAATAGTATTACCTCTTAGTTATATTACATACGTCACCTTCAAATAAAGCCAGATTATCAGACAGGACAAAGAGCAACCATATCCAACTTTATGCTATTTATAATAAATGTAGTGTGAATAATACAAAGAGGCAAATAGGTTGAAAGTAAAAATACTGAAAAAAGATATGAAAACGGTAAGTATAACAAAGAAAAATTATATTATTAAAAATAGATGGTAAGGAGTTTTGCTACAGAGATTTTTATAATGATATTTAATTTAGCAGGAAGAGGTAACACTTAAAAATATATGTGTGTGTTATAATGGAGTCCAAAATATATTAAACAAAACTGTCAAAACTAAAGGAAGAAATGGAAAAAGGACCAATTATAGTGGGAAATTTCACTACTCCTTTCTAATTGATGAAAGTAGACAATCAATAAACATAGAGACTTGAATAACACTACCAAACAACGTGATCTAAATAACACAGCTAGAATCCTCCACCCAGCAACAAAAAAACACATGTTCTTTTCCAGTGCACATGAATATTCATCAAGATAAACTATATACCGAGGCTGGGTGTGGTGGCTCACGCCTGTAATCCCAGCACTTTGGGAGGCTGGGGTGGGTGGGTAATGAGATTCAGAGATCGAGACCATCCTGGCTAACATGGTGAAACTCTGTCTCTGCTAAAAATACAAAAAATTTACTGGCCAAAGAAGAAATCAAAAGGGAAACTAGAAAATATTTTGAATTCAATAACAAAGTACAGCATATCAAAAGTTGTGAGATGTAGCTAAAATAGTATTAGAGAGTTCATTTATTGCTTTAAGGAATATTGCTATAAGGAAGAAAAGCATAAAATATCTAAATTTCCATCTAAGAAGGTAAATAAAACATATTAAACCGAAGGAAATTCCAATATCAGGAGTAAAAGAGTGGACATCCTTCCAGTTTCTATAGATAGTAAAAGAAAAGAAAATATCATGACAACTTAAATGAAATAGTCATATTTTTAAAGAAACCACATTTACCAAAACTGACTTAAGAAACAGACAACTGAACTGTCCCGTATCAATGAAAGAAATTGAATTCATAATTTAAAATATTCACAAATAGAAATGTCCAGACTCAGCTGGCTTCATTGGTTAATTCTATCAAATATTTTAGGAGGAAAAAGAAAATACTAAAGCCATAAAAGCAGTTGCATAAAATTGAGGCAAAATAACCCTTCTCAACTCACCTTACAAGGCCAGTATTACTCTCACACCAAAGCCAAAGAATTAAAAGAATAGAAAGAAATGTCCCGCATGAACATAAACGCAAAAATCCTTAACATATTTTCAAAGAAAATGATACAATATACAAAACAAGTTACAAACAACTGGGTTTTATCTCAGGAATGCAAGATTATTTAATAGCTGACAAATCCATATATTTCATATTAACATTGACAAATCATAATATTACATATTAACAATCAGGGAGAATAAGTAGGATTTTTCTCAATTGGGGTAAAAAAAGCATTTCGTGTAATTTGACTCAAAACAGCAAAAACTCTTAGCAGCCTAGAAATAAAAGATAACTTTCTCAACCTGATAAGAGACAGATATGAAAAATCTACAACCAACATCACACTTAATGGTAAAAGACTGAATACATTGTACTTGAGATTAGGGACAAGCCAGAATGCCCTTTCAACATTGCACTGGGATTTCTGTAAGGTCAGAAAACAAAGCAAAGAGAATACAGATCAGAAATGAGCAAAATTAACTTTTTTTGTAGTTAACATGTTAATGTAGGCAGAAAATCCAAAGAAATCTACAGAAATAAAGCTAAAGAAAAGAAGTGACTTTAGCGAGGTTTTTACAAAAAATAAGGTTGAGATTAAAAATGCCATTGCCTTTTTCTTTTTCCTTTTTTTTTTGAGACCGACTCTCCTTCTGTCGCCCAGGCTGGAGTGCAGTGGCACAATCTCTGCTCACTGCAAGCTCCGCCTCCCGAGTTTATGCTATTCTCCTGCCTCAGCCTCCGGAGTAGCTGGGACTACAGGCGGCCGGCCACCACACCCAGCTAATTTTTTTTTTTTTATTTTTAGTAGAGACGGGGTATCTCTGTGTTAGCCAGGATGGTCTTGATCTCCTGACCTCGTGATCCGCCGGCCTCGGCCTCCCAAAGTGCTGGGATTACAGGCGTGAGCCACCGGGCCCAGCCAAAAAAAAATGCCATTGCCTTTCTATATATCAGTTAGGAAAACACCTATTGGATGTTGAAATGAGGAACAACTCAGTTTTCAAAGCAAGTCTGTTTACAAAAGCACAAATAAAATTCCTTTGAATAAACTTAAGAAAAGACGAGTGAAAAGTATACATCTTATTCACTGAAAACTACAAAATTTTGTTGAGAGAAGTTAAAGACCTAAATAAATGGAGAAATATATCATTTTATGTATTGTAAGACATGGTAGCTAAGGTAGTAATTTTCCCCGGGTGCAGCAAGTTTTTGTAGCAATTGTCAAGGGATGGGCACCAACATTTATATGGAATCAAAGGACCTAGAAAAACCAAAAATATTTTAAAAAGAAAAAGTTGGAAATTATATACTTTTTGATTTCAAGGCTTATTATAAAGCTACAGCAACCAAGACATTGTGGTATCGGCTAAAGGATTTTCTGCCTACATGAACATGTTACAATATTAGAAAATAGAGTTGGAAATAGACCCACACATATATGTTCAATTGATTTTTGACAAGGGCTCCGAGGTAATTCAATGGTGAAAGCAGATTCTTTTCAAAGACTTGGTCTGAAGCTGTTGAATATGTGAATGATTTTAAAAAAAAGGGGGACAAAAGCAAAACTTACTTAGACTCCATCTCACATAATTCACAACTCTTAACTCAAAGTGTATCATAGACTACATATAAGAGGCATGAAGTTTTCAGAAGGAAACACAAGACAATTCTCGTGACCTTGAGTAGACAATTTCTTAAATTGAGCCCCCAGCTCCTGCCAAATGAACCATGAAATAAATAGATGAATTAGACTTTACTGAAATTTAAAATTTTTTCTTTAAGAAAATGAAAAGGCAACTCTCAGAGTACTTACCCAACACATATCTGAAGAATGACTATTATCAAGAACATATATTTAAAAAAACAAAGTCACAACTCAAAAAAGACACATGCTTTTAAAAAATATTAGAGGATTTCAAGAGACATTTCACAAAAGAAGTTATGTAAATGACCAATAATGTGAGAAGTTGGTCAGTATTACTAGTTTTCAGGAAAATGAATATTAGAACCACTAGGTACTCCCTAGAATAGCTAGAACTTAAAACACAAAACGTACAATCCCAAGTGTGAGAAAGAATGTGAAGCAACCGTAACTCATACATTGCTTGTGGGAAAATGGTGGCGCCACTTTGGAAAGCAGTTTTTGCAGTTCATTTTATAGTTAAATGCATACTTACCTTGTGATTCAGCAATTCTGATTCTAGGCTTTTACGCATGAGAATGTGTACATTCATACTAAGACTTGGATGTATTCACACCAGCATAATTTATTATAATCAAAACTGGAAATGACCCAAATGGCTGTCAACTGGAGAATGGGTAGATAAAATACAGTAAAGTCGTAACATGGAGAAACACTCAGCTGTAAAAACAAATGAGCTACTGATGGCACGCAACATGAGAAGTCTGAGAAGCGTCACACTAAGCAGCATATACTGTGTGATTCCATTGATAGAAAACTGTGGAAAAGGCAAAACTGTAGTGACCTAAAAGTTCATCAGAGCTTGCGTAAAACAAGTGGCAGTGGAGATGGCGGGGAGGGACGACAGTGACAGGAAATGAGGAACATGTCTGGGTGGAGGAAATGGTCAGTATCTGGAGTGTGGTTGGGCTCTATGATGATGTGCATTAGCCAAAAATCATCAAAATAGACACTTAAATTATTAGGCCCCAGTAAACTAATTTAAATATGGGAGGCAAAAAAAGTTTACAATAATACAAATACTAAACATTAAAACTTGTGAGTTGTAACTATAGTGACATTTCCAGAATTTTGTATAGATTTAAATGGTTATACTATTAATAAAAAAGAATACTCGTGGATTATTGGCTCATATCATGATTTACAATCAAGCAACATGAGGAATGGGCAGATTAGCTCTTACAGGAAAGGGCTGTAATCAGCCGAAGTCACACTTCTGAATATTCAGCTCAGTGGTATGGTGGCGTTGGGCCATTTTCTTCTCTTGAAGCTTCTGTTCTCTGAAGCTGGTACTATGGAGAATTCTCAGAACAGCTTCATTACTTTTGATGAGTTATTCTATGGGGCTAACTGGGTCTAAGGATTCAGTTGACTGTTATGGCTGCTGGAGGAGGAATGGGGCATACAACTGGAACGCTCTGGAGACAGAGGAATATCTCTCATCAAGATGTGTTAGAGGAGAGAAGAGCCAGAGTCCAAGAAGTGATAGTGAAGCTGAGATGAGAAGGTGGACTCTGGAGGGATGCAGGAGGAACATTGGTAGTTAATAGATTGGTGCATGTGTGTGCGTGTGTGTGTGTGTAGAAGGTGATTCAACATATTACCTTTGCTTTGGGAGAATGGCTAGAATAGTGGAGTAATTTGCTGAGGTAGGAAATATGGGAGGAGGAACCCACTAGGATGGGGTACGCTGGGCACATTGAGGAGTGAGGTGGGTTCAGAAGGAGACCTCCAATATGTCATTGGTGGTAGAGGTGTGGTGAAGGTGAAAGAAGCTTTAACTGGAATATTTGAGATTCATCCATGTAGATGAGATCATGGAAGTCATTAGCATGATGCTTACTGCTTGAGGATCACGTCAGGATGGGAGAAGGCTGGGGGATGGAACTGTGGAAGCACTAATGCTTAGAGATGAATCCACAGTGAAGACTGAGAAGAAGGGAAGCAGTAGGAAATTCAGAAGGAAATGAAGACAGCAACTTTGGCCAATGGACACTTTCTTAGTTCTTATTGACTCGGAACCAAGTTATTTCCCTTCTCTGGACCTAAGTTTTCTCATCAGGCTGATTTCGGGTTAGATAATTTCTTGATTCCTTCCAGTTTTAAAATTCTCTCATGTAAACATAGTTTTTTTATTGTCAAAGAAGTAATAATAGTTTAAACACATTTTGTGGTATTTTCATGAGAAATACGGCACATGTACATGCATATGCAAACACCTGAGAGAACAAACACCACTTCTATCAGTGTGGTTTGTCTCAAGGGAATGGCATAAAAAGATGGAAGAACAAATTGGTCAGTTAATCCAATGCAGCATCAGAAATACTCTGTTGACACAGCAAACCACAAGGAGTGTTGAAAAAGTGGCAGTGTAGACTGCTTTCTGTGCAAACATCAAGGGATTAGAAGGCAGAAGATGGAGGGTGGCCTAGTGGGTGTGACCCCACCAAAGTCACAGGGACCTGGAGAGTGAAAAATGAAAGGCAAAACCTCAACACAGAAAGCTTCTGGGCTCCTGGCCTCTGATACCCACTGCTGTTTGGAAAGTTCAACTTTAAATATAAAAGTTACATTCAGCTTTTAGCTGATTAATGGGTTCAGGCCACAACCACTGGGAAGGCTGCTGAAATCAGTGCATATCTCAAGTTTACAATTGCTTTTCAACAAGACACCCGGTGGAAAATGATGAGAGATTTAAAGATAATTTTTTTCCTAGACTAACGCATTCTTCGCATTGCCTCACTTCTCTTTAACACACTATGATTATTAAGTAATAATTTCCCATTGATGCTACCACATTTTCTTTTCAACTGATAGTGTAATACAGGCATGCTTTGTTTTGTTGTGCTTCACAGATATGGTGTTTTGTGAATTGAAAGTTTGTGACAACCCTGTGTTGAGCAATCTATTGGTGCCATTTTTCCAACAGCATGTGTTCACTTTGTCTCTGTGTCACATTTTGCTAATTCTCAAAATATCTTCAACATTTTTATTATTACTATATCTGTTATGTTGACCTGTGATCAGTGATCTTTGATGTTAGTATTGTGATTTTTTCGAGGTTCCATTAACCGTGCCCATATGAGATAGAGAAAGTAATTAATATTATATGTATTCTGACTGATCCACTCATCAACAGTTCCCCATATCTCTCTCCCTCTCCTTGGGACTCCCTATTCCCTGAGACACACAATATTGAAATTAGACCAATTAATAACCCTACGATGGCCTCTAAGTGTTCAAGTGAAAGGAATCATCACACACATCTCTCACTTTCAATCAACAGCTAGAAATGATTAAGCTTAGTAAGAAGGGCACGTCAAACAAAAGCTGAGATAGGCTGGAAAAAAGGTGTCTTGTACCAGTTAGCTAAGTTATAAATGCAAAAGAAAAGTTCTTGAAGGAAATTAAAAGTGCTACTCCAGTGAACGCACGAATAATAATAATAAAAAAAGTGAAACAGCCTATTGCTGATATGGAGAAGTTTGAGTGGTCTGTATAGAAGATCAAGCCAACCACAACATTCTCTTAAGCCAAAGCTTAACCTGGAGCAAGGCCCTAACTCTTTAATTCTGTGAAGGCTGAGAGAGGGGAGGAAGCTGCAGAAGAAAAATTTCAAGCTAACAGAGATTGGTATGAATTTTAAGGAAAGAAGCCATCCCCATAATATTAGAAACACAAGGTGAAGCAGCAAGTGCTGATGGAGAAGCTGCAGCAAATTATCCAGAAGATCTAGCTAAGTCCATTGATGAAGGTCGCTACACTGAACAAGGTAGACAAAACAGCCTTCTCTTGGAAGAAGATCACATCTAGGACTTTCATAGCTAGAGAAAAGTCAACGCATGGCTTCAAAGCTTCAAAGGACAGGCTGAATCTTGTTAGGGACTGATGCATCTGGTGACTTTGAAGTTGAAGCCAATGGTTATTTACTATTCTAAAAATCCTAGGGCTCTTAGGAGTTATGCTAAATCTACTCTGCCTGTGCTTTAGAAATAGAACAACAAAGCCTGGATGATAGCACATCTGTTTACACATAGTTAGCATTTTGAGCCCATTGTTGAGACTACTGCTCAGAAAAAAAAGTTCAAACTATTAGTGCTCATTACTATTCACAATACAAAGACATGAAATCAACCCAAATGCCCATCAATGATAGACTGGATAAAGAAAATGTGGTAAATATACAACATGGAATACTATTCAGCCCTAAAAAGGAATAAGATCATTTCCTTTGCAGGGGCATGGATGGAACTGGAAGCCATTATTCTTAGCATACTGACACAGGAACAGAAAACCAAACACCACATGTTCTCACTTACAAGTGGGAGCTGAACAATGAAAACGCATGGACACAGGGAGGAAGACAACACACAATGGGGCCTGTGGGGGGATGAGGGGAGGAGGGAAAGCATCAGGATAAATAGCTAATGCTTGTAGGGCTTAATACCTAGGTGATGGGTTGATAGGTGCAGCAAACCACCATGGCACATGTTTATCTATGCAACAAACCTGCATGTCCTGCGCATGTATCCTGGAAATTAAAATTAAAAAATTAGTGCTCATTGACAATGCACCTGGTCACCCAAGAGCTCTGATGGAGATATAAATAGAGATTAATGTTTTTAATGCCTGCTAACACAGTATCCTTTCTTCAGCCCATGGATGAAGGAGTAATTTCAAATTTCTAGTCTTATTATTTCAAAAATACATTTTGTAAGACTATGGCTGCCATAGACAGTGATTCCTCTGATGGGTCTGGGTAAAGTAAATTGAAGTCCTTCTGGAAGGGACTCAGCATTCTAGATGCCATTAAGAACATTCATGATTCATAGGAGGAGGTCAGATTACCAGCATTAACAGGAGTTAGTTGATTCCAACCTTCATGGATGACTTTGAGGGGTTCAAGACTTCAGTGGAGGAAGTAACTACAGATGTGTTGACTATGGAAAGAGAAGTAGAATCACAAGTGGAGCTTGAAGATGTAACTAAATTGCTGCAATCTCATCATCAAACTTGAACAGATGAGGAATTGTTTCTTATGGATGAGCAAAGAAAGTGGTTTCTTGAGATGGAATCTACTCTTGGTGAAGACTGAACGTGAACATTTTTGAAATGAAAGTAAAGAATATTACATCAGCCTAGTTGATAAAGCAGCAGTAGGGTTTGAGAGGACTGTCTCCGATTTTGAAAGAAGTTCCACTGCAGGTAAAATATTATCAAGCAGCATTACATGCCACAGATAAATCTTTCATGAAAGGCAGAGTCAATCGATGTAGCAAACTTCATTGTTGTCTAATTTTAACAAATCACCACAGCCAGCAGGACTTTCATCTACTACTACCCTGATGAGTCAGGAGCCATCAACATCGAGACAAGGCTGTCCACAAGCAAAAGATTAGGACTCACTAAAAGATCAGGTGATCTTTAGCATTTTTTAGCAATTAAATATTTTTAAATTAAGGTCTGTATACTTTTAGACATAATGCTACTGCACAAAATAGTATAATGCAAAGCTAACTTTTCTCTTTTTTTATTATACTTTTAAGTTCTAGGGTACATGTGCACAACGTGCAGGTTTTTTACATATGTATACATGTGCCATGTTGGTGTGCTGCACCCATTAACTCGTCATTTACATTAGGTATATCTCTAATGCTATCCCCCCCACCCCACGACAGGCCCCGGTGTGTGACGTTCCCCTTCCTGTGTCCAAGTGTTCAGTTCCCACCTATGTGTGAGAACATGTGGTGTTTGCAAACCTAACTTTTATGTGCACTGGGAAACCAAAAAATTTATGTGACTTGTTTTATTTTGACATTAATTTTATTGTTGTGGTCTGGAACTCAACTGTAGTATCTCCAACGTATGCCTGTAATCATAATTTTTTGTAGGATCAAATGATTGTAGACTTGCATAATGATTATGTTACTTTAAAGAGTAGAATATGTAATCTCAGTGGTTGAAAGGGACTTAGCTTTGAGCCTATGCATTCTGTGCGTACTGAATCGTTTTCAAGGATGGACTGGAAATGGCTTGAATTGTAACCTCCTCTATCCTGGTGTGGCCCACTGCTCAGGCAAGTGAAGTTGGTCTTCAGGTTCCCAAGACCCTCTCTTCTAAACTTCTAAATTAAAAAGAAGAATAAATCTTCCAAAGGACTCTATATAAATAATAGTTGAAATTTGAAGAAGCTTTTGTGTTATTTAAACAAATGGAGATTAGAAATAAAAGTATAGTATGTCTAAGTGTTGAGTATTATGAGAAGCAAATAGAAAGCTAGAATTATGTAGATTGGAAGGCCTGATACACTGAGTCTTAATTGCACTCTGCTGTTTTTCCATAGTGATACTGAATTAAGTTACAAAATGTATTTTCGTTTTCAGATTCCACTCTGGGACAATAAGAGGAAGTAGCATTGTTTTGAGACCAAACTGTAGACTTCTAGAGTGTTTTGCTGCAGTACATGTGGGAGTTGATTGTGGAAGTGTTTATCTTACCCTGAGAAAACCTGAGAAAAGAAAATCTTTCTAAATGACCTAGAGAAACACACATAACTGAAAAAATATATAAATAATAATAATATCTCTACCTATATATGTTAAAATATATTCTAGACTTCTAGAGTGTTCTGCTGCAGTATATGTGGGAGTTCATTGTGAAAGTGTTTATCTTACCCTGAGAAAACCTGAGAAAAGAAAATCTTTCTAAATGACCTACAGAAACACACATAACTGAAAAAAATATATAAATAATAATATCTCTGCCTATATATGTTAAAATATATTCTACCTATGATTATCAGATGTTGGTTGGCATCAAGTATGCTGGACAACTGGCATGAGGATAGGACATTTTTTTCTGAAATATTTTTAGAATCTTGCAGTTTTTACAAATTCAAACCTAAGCCCAAAGTGTACATTTGCATTTGCTGTATTTAAACCTTAGGAAGTTTTTCCATCTTGTTGAATTCATGTCTATGTTTTACTTCCATGCTTTTCTAAGAACTAAAGGGACCACTATTTTAGGGTTTCTAATGGAATTAATTTGCGTATCTGAAACACGTCTTTGCATATTTCTCTAGAAAAACCACGTAGGATATCCTATTTGCTATGTATACAAAAGAACTGTGGAATGTGTAGTGAAAGAAATTAAAGATTTCCACTGTATAGATCTCTTCTTCAGTGGAATATGTTCTTAAAACTTTCCTAAAATTTATATTTTATTTTATTTTGTTTTATGGAGTCTTGCTCTGTCACCCAGGCTGGAGTACAGTGGCGCGATCTCAGCTCACTGCAACCTCCACCTCCCGGGTTCAAGCGATTCCCCTGCCTTAGCCTCCTGAGTAGCTGGAATTACACCACCATGCCCAGCTAATTTTTGTATGTTTAGTGGAGATGGGTTTCCACCATGCTAGCCAGGATAGTCTTGAACTCCTGGCCTTGAGTGATCCACCTGCTTCAGCCTCCCAAAGTGCTGGAATTACAGGCATGAGACACTGTGCCTGGCCCTAAAATTGATTCTTAATCGTGCTTTTTGAGAAAAAAGTTCTTAGTAGCTACTGTAAAGAAAGACCAGCTGGGGTTCCCAGGCCATGTAAAGGACTTGGTCTTCATCACAGGACAGTATGTTATGTAGCCACTGAAGGGCATGGAGTGCCAAAATTAAACAGATGCAGATGGCAGCATTCTGTTCAATTCTGTATTTGATTTTTGTCACGACAATTCTGACACTGTTTGTGCAATGAGTTATGCAGCGCTAGAGACTGTTATGCTCACTGTTGCATACCTCACGTTTACCACGGCAATGAGCACTCAAAGGAGGTAGGACAGTAAGTATATGGTAGATGAACTGAGGAAGAAACAATCGAAATATATACATTAGAAAGCATGCCTAAACCTACATAAGAAAAAACTGATTTTGTCTATTTATAGTATTTTCAAGAGATTCCAACTGTGTGTGTGTCTGTTGGCCACATAGTGTCCTCATACCCTAGACGCTGACAGTCTCACAGAGGCAGTCCTGATGGAAATGTAGGTAGACTGTAGAGAATGTGTTTTCTTTCAGAAGTTCAAAAAGTGATAACCCTGAAAATGAAATGTTTTTCAGAACTCCCGAGTCTAGATGGAAACGATTTCTCCTTTAGATTTAGTGAGTCAAGTTCCATTGCTTGGGCCCGTGTGCAGAAGAGTACAATTATTAAAAATGTGACTAGAAGGGTCATTCTCCACTGACTTCTTAGGGATGTACTTGCTAGTTTGACAGAGGCAGGGTCATGGAAGTGATGCTTTGGAAGGCGGGCTGTGTGCAGGATGCTCGGGAGGAGCTGAGGACGGCTGCTTGATATTCAAGGGAGAGCTTCCTCTTTAAGTCTGTGGATGGTCAACAGAAAGCCATCACAGGCTTCAGATATATTCACGTATTTTAGAACTCCCAGTAATGTTTTCAGCTTTGTTGGTGTAAACTTTTGATAATTTTTCTTAAATAACTGACGTCAAATGAGAAAGATGTCGTTGGTTGCCTGCATCCTGTTGGCAGTGTGGCCAGAGCACCCAGTTTCCTTTCTCTCTGCAGTTGGTCTGGGGAAACTGCTATAGGAGAATCATGGCACATCAGAGCTCACTTCTGTGATTCCAGTGAGGCTGCATTCCTTCAGGCTTGACTCTAGGATTGGTGTGTGTGTGTTCTTTTTTTCTAGAATGATAAGAGTAGGAAAAGAGTAGAGTGGACCAGTTAGCTTATTACCAATGCTGTGCAACAGAAGACAGTAAGTTCCACAGTGGGGCTTTGGAGGAGGCTTCTCTGTGCCCTCTCAGACCTCAAGCATGATGGCTTTTAAAATGCTTGCCGTGGCCAAGTCACACATTCAAAGTGGAACAGGTGTTGTGGTGCCCACACGTGTCTCCTTGCTTACTGCTGCCATGCCCTGGCCTGACTTAGTGTCAACTCCTGCATTCCTTTATCTATGGGCTTGTTTTCTGGCCACCAAAACCCACAGTGTTGGCCCATGCAACAGAGCAGCAATGGGGTTACTTTGATGTGTGGGGGAGGGAATTAATATCCCCTGGGAGTCGTTCTCAGCCAATGAGACAGGTGGAGGATAAATCCCTTCAGTACTTCATCGCTTGGTTGCAAGGTGAGGCCTCTGGGCACATGCTCTGCCGTGGCTCCTGGAACTTTCTGGGGCCTCAGCACCTACTGGTCTAATGAGGCTACATGCACTGGCTGTCTTCACTCCCTTGTCTCATGGCCCTGCTCCCACTGTGATGTTTCCTTCACCTCCCCAATAAACTACCTGAGCTCAAATCCTTGTCTCAAGGTCTACTCCTGTGAGGACCAAAAAAAAATTATGTAAATCAAGTAACTTTTAGTGACAATCTGGAGCGAGGCTGAGCAGCTGCAGAGAGGACGCTCATTATACCCACAGATCACTGCCTGATGCTGTGAAAGTCTTCCGCCTGTACCACTCTCTGTGTAGTTAGAGCAAGCAATACTAACAAAGTGAAAACAACCTTCCTTAGCCCACTTTGATGATTTATCTATGTTCGCTCTTTCTATATATTCTTTTTCAATATTTAAAAAGTCTCAAGGAGATGAACTCTAGATGTTTATTCTTCTATATGAACTGAAGTTGTGCTTGAGAAGGGTAAGAACATTACAGGATCAGCTCTAAAGGATCTTGATCATTTTTAATCTATCTCCATAGGAAAATGTGGCCATCTCCATGGTTGTTGAGGTTGTCTTTTTCAGGATAAAGGATCATACTATATTTCAGGTAAAAATTCACCTTTAGAATAATGTCTGTTATTTCTAATTTTTCCCATTGGTTCATGGAACAAAGATTTATTCCGCACTTACTGTGTGTGAGGTCTGTAATAGACTCCAGTGATTCATGTGTTTTGGGAAGTATTTAATGAAGAAACATAACTCTTAATACTTTAAAAATTTTATTAACAATTTAAACCCATTTATTCAGTAGGAAGTATATTTTCTCTGCTCTAAACACGCAGATCACTTTTATTTTTCTGATGGCATTTACATTTTAGCTTGCAATATGTTTTTGTAAATATCTTCTGTAAATAGACTCTACTAGATTATAAACTCCTTGAGGAACAAACCATGTAGTATTAGCATCATTGCTCCTATGTTTCTTAAAATATACTCTATTTAAAATAGAAGCCAAGTGAATATTTCTTATATAACTTTCAGGTAATATTCCTTCTAAAACTTGTTCATGATGAAACTTAGTTACCACTTTCATATCCATGCATAATTTATTGAGATCGTCTTAGACTTACTTCTCTACACTTGGGCATTTTATTATTTAGAGAAACACAAGAAAACAAGACAACTAAAGATCATATTCTTTCTTAGTGATTAGCATACTGGGGGGATGGGCTGGGAAGGTGAATTTCTGCTTTGAGTTGGTACATGGGTAAATGGTCTCCAGGTTTCTCCCCATTGTTGAGATTCTATAAATTAGTTAGTAGGGGAAACGTGCTTATTGATAGCTGAGCAAGACCAGTGAAAGGGAAGGTTCTTCTTTTGCTATTAAGAGCACATCCCATTTAGCTTATGTAAACTTAATGGTCATAAAAAGCATTTCCATATGATGAGTGCATCTAGATAATTCTAAAAATCTAACGCCATTGCCAGTATGGAGTTTAACTATTCGAGTACCAAGAAATTTGGTGAAAATTCACAGCTAACTGGATTATTTCTTGAATTTTACTGGATGAATACTTTTGAGTGAATGTGGGAGACCACATGGATTTCTTATTCACCTGGATTTTTAAAGGAATAGGTGGGTTAAAGTGAATAAATCTAGCCTGGGCGTTGATGAAGGCATGGCAGTCTTTGAAGTGAATGGTAGGGATATGAGTGTGATTTACTATTGTTATCATAATTGAGGTTTTATTGGTTGAGGTTTTATTGGTTTTATTGGTTGAATTTGTACACAATTCTTAACATACGTATCTAAAATAATCTAAGAAGCCATGTATTTTTTTTTTAACAACCAGAAAATAGTGTGGGATATTTAATTGTGGGAGGCTTTGACTGTCTTGGGCATCAGCCTCCTCCTGCTGCTGGAGGTGGGAGAACCCATGGAACCCGATTGGGACCCCACTTCCTCCTCCACACCAGACCCTGCCAGTGGCTCCTCCTCCCAGCCATAATTATTGTTATTACGGATTAATGTGGAGAAAGCAATCCTCATAAGAACCAGAGTTGCTGCTGTAATTTCCTCTAGTTGGCCTGGAGGGCTCCCAGCGTTAGGCCAGTGTGTGGGTCAGGCCAGACACAGAGGAGGCAGCATGGCACAGCACCTGGTAAACAGAAGCAGGTCATTACCTGGAGACCCCAGTGGCAAGTGGGCTGCCCACCAGGCCGCCAGGAAGTCTGCAGACAGTAGGGAGCCCAACCAGCAGGAGGGAAGTCCCACAGGGAGAGGACCTGCAGGACTGGGCCTTTAGTGAGGCTGGTGGGCGTTATCCATCAGGGCTTCCCTTGGGGAGCGGTGGTTGGCTGGCTTAAACAAAACACACATGATGGGGACCTTTCTTACCTGACTCTGGGCTTAGTCAGGTTTCATCGTGGTCAGTGGCTGTGAGAGATGCTGGGGTTGGTGAGATGAGGAACCAGCTGTCTGCATTGCATGGGAAGGGGAAGTTTTAAAGAAGCTAAAGATATAATAACTGGATATGACTGGATTTCAAACAACTTACGGCAGGCCTAGAAATGGGTGGTGAAACAACATAAAATTATAGTAATTCACTGCATGGTTAAATATTACTGAGACCTGGCATCAAACTTCTCAGATCAAGTCAGATGGCGTAGTCGAATAGTGGCGAACTAGACCCAGGAAGAGAGAGAGGTGAGCAGGAGCTGGAGGAAAGGATTGTGTTTATGTGCCAGGCTGTGCTAGGTACTTTCACACATGCAATTTTATTTAATTTTCACAGAAATTTTGCAAAGGAGGTATTTCTTCAGGCTTGCTGGAAGTCTGGATAAACTTGTTGGGGGGTCAGTCACGTAACTTGCAAATGAGAGAGCTGGCCTCAAACCCAAGCCTACGTGACACCAAAGCCCTCGATTCCAACAGGACACAGGAGGGAAGGAAGGAGGGAGGCTGAGAGGGAGGGAGGGAGAGAGAGAGAGAGAAGGAAAGCAGGAAAGGAAGGGAAGGAAGGGGAAGGGAAGGGAGGAAGGAGAAGAGAAGGGAAGGGAGGAAGGAAGGGTAACACTCATGAACAAAGGGCCACAGCATGGCAGGGTGGAAACAGGCAGGAATGCCACCAGGAGGTGCTGGGTGGCTTAGCGTCCAGCTTGGGTCTTGCAGATCCACTGCACTCACAGGGAGACAGGGGTGGGTCTCCTGGAGGGTGCTGCTTCGCTTTTCCTCAAATCACCTAAGTTGAGCCTGGCAAAAGAATATTATTTTGAATCAGTTATTTGTGGGGAAAGGGCATGGACAATTATTATGATTGTCTTGAAATAGTGAAAAGGATGCTCCAAGGAAAAAGTTTTATGTGCCTGGGGTGTTTTACTTGGCCTTGGCTTTCCATGGCAGAAATACAATCAATCAAATTCTGAAAATAATTATTAAAACAATTACTCCTTGCTTGAGAGAGGAAAACTGATTAGATCCAAAGTTGAAAAGTCTCCACAGGCAGATGGAGGAATCAGGAAGGGCTGGGCCGTCGGCAGGCCTTGCAGCAGGTGCTGGGCTGAGGCCTGGGGGATGCTCCCTCTCTCTTCCCTCTGATGCCTGTGAGAGGGCCTCGGGCTCTGGGGGGGGCCTCAGTGGTTAATGTGCAGTTTGTAAATGCACTTGCATTTATGAGCAGGACATCAGGATGCATTATTAATGCCCAACTGAGAAGAATAACAAGAGGCTTTTGTGGTTTATGCAGTAAACTGTGTTTTCACTTAAGAGTGGAACATAGTAAATACAAATTGATGATACAGGCAATAGTAATCATAAAACCACAGCACAGGCAGGCTGACAAGAGAGGTCCCGTGCCAATTTGCAGCTATTTCCATGGCACGCATTTGCCTTTAGAACGTTTCCATGCTGGGTAGTTGGGTATCAGCAAATACTCCTGTCACTTCAGGAAGCTTTGTTTACGCACAGATCTCTGAGTTACTGTGGTCTAGAAAGACCAATTATCGTTCAGATACAATTTAGCTGACAAACTTATTTAATGGTTATTATTTTCAGAACACAGCTCTTTTATTTTTAAATAATGTGATTAAGAATATGATGAATTGAAACCAATTTTTCTTTTTTTAAAATTTCTAATAATAGAAAAATACTAGTTCTCCTTGAGACTTTTTTTTTACCCTTCTTGTTCTGAGAGAACTTGGTGTTTATGAAAACTTTAGGGTTTTCAGCAGCTAAATATGCATGTCAACAAAGAGACAGCTTGGACATGCAGGTCTCTGGTACATGAATCCTTGATTTATGAGTCATTGGACAGCACAAGTGGGCTTTTCTGGCTGCTCCCACATTGCTGAAGCCACAGCTACAGGAGCCATTGCTCTTGGTCAGGACCATGTCAGCGGCAGTTTGGGTAAAATGGGTTTCTATGGGCTGGCCAGGTAGTCTAAATCACCATGTGTAGTTACCTGGGGAAAGAGACGTTAATTGCAAACAGTCAGGTTGGAAAGGGTGATGGGAAAGGGTGAGGGAGCTCTCAGGTTGAGAGCTACCCTCAATGATTCATCAAGTCAATTCTACGTAGGCTTACTTCTAAATGTGACATATCAGAATATCTCCCCAACAAAGCCCTTGAAAGAACACTTAAGGTCAAGATACAGAAAGCCTAGCAGCAGTTCTCATGGGGTTCTTCTTAAAACACCAACAACAACAACTGTTTGTTTCTGTGTATTTGAATATTTCAGATATTTGTCTAAAATTTGCAGTGTTATGGATGTCAGATTTACAAATTATTTTCTTTCCACTCATCATAATCTATGCTCTTTATAGAAAGGGAAAGCACATCCTCAAATTCCATCTTTGTCACTTTTAGCAATAAACAATCAATTTAGGAACAAAGAAAAGACCCCATGTACATAAAAGTAAAGAGGTTGGTTGATGGTGTGTTTATGTCATGCAAAATGTGGTCTATTTTAAAGAAAACAAAGAGCACTAGAGATTTTACTCTCTTGTTTATTACTTATTTTTAAATTATGCACATTGCTTTCATTTTCTTAAAAACAAAAGATGGCATAAGTGATCACAAAAGGAATTGGGCAATTTATTGGGGGGAAATTTCTCCTTTAATAGTAAAAAATAAATTTGCAAAGAGTATAAAGCTTCAGCTGCAGAGCCATCCAGCTCCAGAGATCGTCTTTCTGATTTGTTCCAAGCCTTTCCAACATATTCACCTCTCTGTCTCTGTCTTTCTCTGACACTCATGATGTTGCTCTTTAGTGATCATAGAAGCTGCCCAATATAAACATTTCCCATTTCCTTTTCATAAACCATAGAAAAGTATAAGAAGGACTGGTATTTCTGAATCTCTTTGTTCAGAAAACATGGAGCTGGATGTAGTGGTTGCATGACTGATTTCTGAGGATAAGTAGCTAAATTATTTAGAAATGAAAACTGTATGCTTTAATGTTAGATTATGGTTTTGCATTCTTTAGTTTGTCATAGAATTTATTGCTCTGAAGAATGATTACATGATGTTTTCAGATTAGGGCCAGATGTATATCCAGAATTTAAAACTGCAGAGAGAAATGTATAACATATGGTCTGGAATTCTTAGGAAAGTTATGAAACTTCTGGGTCTCAAGAATTACTATGACATGAATGTTACAAAATGAGGTCACTTTAAAGATATTTATACTTTTTAAAATTACAGTTCTGTTATTAGCTGAAAAAAAATGAGATACTGGGAGGTTTGGGGCCAAAAACTTAGTGGCACAAACTTCTTGTCTCTGTAGAGTGTGTATTATATTCTTACCCCAGTGCCTGCAAGCCTGCAGCACCATCTTCACCATGGAAAGAGGAACACATCTGCTCTTCATGAGTTGAATTGCTGCTCTTCGCTAAGCTAGCTGCGTGGTTGGTGGAACTGGTACCCAGAGACACTAGGATGATTCTGGAGGCCTGGGTTATTTTCCTTCTTGAGGTTTGTAGCTACTTTTAGATTAAGTTTGAGCACATTGCTAGGTGTTACGGAAAAAATGTTTGTGTCCCTCCCAAATCCATGTGTTGAAGCTCTAACCCCTAATATAATGGTGTTTGAAGGTGGGGCCTTCGGGAGGTGATTAAGATTAGATGAGTTCACGAGGGTGGGGTCTCCTGATAGGATTAGTACCCTTATAAGCAGAGACACCAGAGAGCTCCTTCTTTCTCTCCCGCCGAGTGCACAAAGAAGAGACTGTGTGTATAGCAAGACAGCAAAGATGCTGTCTTCCAGCCAGGGAGAGAGTCCTCTCTAGAACCTTACCTTGCTGGCACCATGATTTCAGTCCCAGCCTCCAGAACTCTGAGACAATAATCACTCAATCTATGGTATTTTCGTATGGCAGCCTGAGCAGACTGCAGCATCGGGTGTAAAAAGAGAAGATTGAACTAAATAAAAGAGACTGTCTTACCCTCTGTAGTAGGCTGAATAATGGCCACCCAAGATAACAGGTCCTAATCCCTGGAACCTATAAATGTGACCCTATAAGGAGAGAAATTCAAGTTAAAGATCCCCCCCCCTTTTTTTTTTTTTGAGACAGTCTTGCTCTGTCGCTCAGGCTGGAGTGCAGTGGCGCGATCTCTGCTCACTGCAACCTCCACCTCCCGGGTTCAAGCAGTTCTCTGCCTCAGCTTCCCAAGTAGCTGGGATTACAGGCATTTGCCACCATGCCGGCTAATTTTTGTATTACTAGTAGAGACGGGGTTTTATCATCTTGGCCAGGCTGATCTTGAACTCCTGACCTCGTGATCCACCCACCTTGGCCTCCCAAAGTGCTGGGATTACAGGCAAGTTAAAGATCTTAACATGGGAAGATTATCCTTAATTCTCCAGCTGGGGCCTACATCCAATCACAAGTGTCTTTATAAGAAAGGGACAGAGGGAGACCCCCACACACACACAAGAGGAAGAGGGCATGTGACCATGGAGGCAGAGATTGTAGTGATGTGGCCACCAGGAACGAGAGGAAAAAAGGAGTGGGTTTTCCCCTAGGATCTCAGGAGGGGCCATGGCTCTGGTGACACCTCGCTTTTGGACTTTGGGCCTCCAGACCTGTGAGACAATTACTTTGTTGTTTTAAGCCACTCAGTTTGTGGTAATCTGTTATCTGCCACAGGAAACTAGTATCCTCCAACTTCTTACTTCTTCTGACTACAGGGCTTGTTAACTGCATATGCAAAGCTCTTACCTTGAGGTTTGGGCTTCCCTCTGTAGGTAGCACAATTCAAGTCTTAAGCCTGGCTGTCTTATAGAACAAGAGAAGGTCTGAGAGAAATTATTTTACCCTCTGGGTAATTGCTGACAATAATATGTCTCCTGTCAGGCCCAGAGATCAGACTCAAGTACAGTATGTATGATGGTATTTGGCAATTTAGCCTTTTGTTATTTCTATAGGATAGTCCATTGACTGTGTCAAGGGCATGGTGCAGAAAAGACAACTGATGATAATTAGAAAATTACTCTGCTACCAAATCGCATCTTAATTCTTTGAAAGCGCTACACTAATTTTCTTTTTAATATTTCTGTTTTGCTTTCTGTTTATGGCAAAGAATGCTTGAGGTGATGTTTCTGGAGTATGAACGTTTTATATGGCAACCAAACAAGTAGAGATAACGTTAGTCTAATAAGAGCCTCAACATTATCCTTTTTCTATAAATTATTCTAATGTTTGGATTAGAGGAAAGCCATTTGGTTGTTGGAAAGGTCATTTTATTCTCAAAGGACCAAGAGAAGGGGATCCTCTGAGAACTCTTTTACTCAAAAAGACCAAAAAAAATCCGGCCAAAATTAATTGGAAATTTAATTTTGAATCTCTGTTGGGGTTTTGGCTGAGGATCAGCCCAATAATGGATAGCACATGCATAAACTCTTTTGCTACCTCCATCTTCTCCTCTGGATTTCCTTCCTTTTTTGAGATCTGCATCGAATATTTTTCGAGTGTCTATGCTTGTTGTTCATATTTGCCAGGAAAAAAACAGTATGTGCCTTGTTCTCTTGTCAGTCAACTTCTTCTTGTGACTGTTATAGATGGCTGGGCCAATTGCCCAGTTCCCTATTTTTCTGCTTTAAATGGTCAAAACTTAAAGCATAAATACTAACCAATGCCATTGTGTCATTTTTCTAAAATCTTTCTGGTAATCTTCTAAGCTACTAATTAGTTACTCATGAAGAAAATAAAGCATGAACAAAAGCTCTGCAAATCTCTGCCTTCCTGTTTATGATGAGAAACTTTGAACAAACAAATATTTCCAGAGTTAATACCTGAGAAGTTATGCTAGAGATTGCATTAAAAAAGCATACTCTGCACAGGGGATTCAACTGTGTGCTAGAAAGTCTCATTGTCGAATTATTTCATTTCCCCCATCCTTGGCCTTTTGGGGGGTTACCCATGATCTAGTTAAAGAATCACTTACATTTTTAATTCATTCAGCATCTGAAGCATTCACACATTTGCCATGTGTTAAATTTGAGTAAAGCCCTTGAAGTGTGATGACAGAAGAAAGGATGCTAAAAAGAGAGGAGAATATCTCCCACATGTGTAGACAACCAGTATTCAGGGATCAGAAGAGCCAACAGTTCTTGGCCGCCGTTCTGATAGAGGCCTGGTTTTGACCAAATCTGAGATGTGCAAGTACAATATGCAGCAGCCCTGGGGAAAGTGCTCAGGCTTAAGCAAGCCCTGTCGAGGAGATTCTATATATCTTAGTCATCATCTATATTTGGAGCTCAGTAATTCCTGGATGGGCTGTACAGTGTGACTGAAAAATGTTTCTCAGCTCAGAGATGTCAATAATGCACATTTTTTCCTCCATAGATTTGTCTACCTTAATTTGGTGATTGCAACTAAACAGTGTTTCCTATTTGTACCAACCAGAAGAATTTTAAAAATTATTCTTTAGAACAGTTTTATTCACTCAGTCATGAACATTCCCAGACATTTGTGGCCTTCTGGATTCTGAATAAGGTAAGTCGCATAACATGTACAAGCAACTTGGAGGCTTGAAAACGACGTTGATAACAACGAGAGCCATCTCTATACGAAGTAGGCAGCTCATCATAAGAGACCATGGTTATTGGCTAATGTCACGTGTTTCTATTCCAGAGAGTTACAATTAACAGCACCAGTGATCATTGTAATGCAGTGCTCTAGGTTTCCATGAATTGAAGCTTTCTGTTTTGTAAGTACCTGGTGCCAACCAATTGTGCAATTGGAGCTACCATAGTTAAAGTTTTCTGAATTGTTACAAACTAAGTAACATCTTTAATTTGCCAGAGGAAATTGGGGGTGCTCAATGCATAAAAATTGCATTCTCCTTATCTAAAAATTAGCGAGATTTTAGTAAGTTTAATGTTTATCTAATGTCTATGTGAGATCCTATGCTAGGGATTAATGAATATAGCACATAGAATTTCTTTGGGGCAGAGAGACAAAATGAAAAAAAAAAAAATTTAAGCCAGCTGTGGTGGCTCATGCCTGTAATCTCAGTACTTTGGGAGCCCGAGGTGGGTGGATCACAAGGTCAAGAGATCAAGACCATCCTGGCCAACATGGTGAAACCCCGTCTCTACTAAAAATACAAAAATTAGCCGGGCATGGTGGTGGGCACCTGTAGTCCCAGCTACTCGGGAGGCTGAGGCAGGAGAATCACTTGAACCTGGGAAGCGGAAGTTGCAGTGAGCAGAGATGGAGCCACTGCCCTCCAGCCTGCCGACAGAGTGAGACTCCATCTCAAGAAAAAGAAAAAAACATTAAATGTGATAAACAATCAAATATATAGGGGCAATGGAAACAGAGATTTGAGGACACTGAGCTCAGCCTGAGGAGGCCAGGAGAGGTGATGCCTAACCTGAGTTTTGAAGTATACATAGGAGTTTAGCAAATACAACTGAGAAGGACAATTCACAAAGAAAGAAGAGCATAAGCAAAGGCACAGACGCGTACACATCTATGTAGGCATGATAGCTTGGAATTTTGGGAAGCAAAATGCAATCTAGAAACTGGTGAGAAAGCAAATGCAGACATCTGGTCACAAGAAACCTTGGATTCCATGTGGAGAATATTGGGCCTTATCTTCCACACGTTAGAAAGGTCATTCCAGCAGTAATGGAGACAGTAATTATAATGCCCCAGGCAAAACAAGGTAAAGGATTAGGGTGAAGCAGTCTGGTAGAGATGGAGAAAAAGAAGATGGATTTAAATTTCTTTATAGTTTTGGTTTCTTCTAAGTTTACAGTCTAGTAAATCATAACTGGGTGTGAGGTGAGCATCAACACATGAAAAACTATTCTGGGGCTGGGTGCAGTGGCTCATACCTGTAATCCCAGTATTTTGGGAGGCTGAGGCGGGTGGATCACCTGAGGTCAGGAGTTCAAGACCAGCCTGACCAACATGGTGAAACCCTGTCTCTACTAAAAACACAAAAATTAGCTGGGTATGGTGGCGGGCGCCTGTAATCTCAGCTACTCAGGTGGCTGAGGCAGAAGAATCATTTGAACCCAGGAGGCGGAGATTGCAATGAGCTGAGCTCACGCCATTGCACTCCAGCCTGGGCAACAAGAGTAAAACTTTGTCCCAAAAAAAAGAAAAAAAACAAAAAAGAAAAACTATTCTGCATGTCAGGAAATCCTGAAGTCTGGGTTAACTCCTCTGGGGCAGCCCCAGTGAATCGTACTAGGAGCTCTGTAGCGATTGTGGAGATGGATGCTCTCCCTTTTCTGGTTAGAACCAATATAAAGGTCACAGTCTCAGGGTGTGTCACGTGACTCCGATAGGCAGAAGACGGAATAAAATCCAATGAAGCCAGTGAGGTAAGCAGAATTTTTGTTCCCATTCTTTGGGAAACTATGAACATTTTAGCTAAAATTTATTTAAAAAAAAAAAAAACTGTAGCCCTTTTGTCTCTTGGTCACAATAATTATAGAGTCAGCTATTGAAGTATACAACATTTTAAGGATGTAGTTTCCTTCTGAAAAAATAAGCTAAAATAATTGCATCACTTTAAAAGTTAAATTAGTATGTAAACTATAATATTTTGTAACGACACTTTAATCCATTTGCGTTTACTTCTACACAGATACCTAGAAGTCATCTATTCACATTCAATATGCAATTACTGAGCTACTACCTTGTAACATGCACTGAGCTACTTGATCAAGGCATAAAGAAAAAGAAGTGATTTTGCCATTAATCACTTGTGGTAATCTCTGCAAATCTCTTGATGTTAGTTTATTCATGCATCTAAAAAAAAAGACATTTAGCCAGATGTCCTATGAGGTCCTTAATTTCTCTCTAAGCATTATTTTGTCTACGCCTGAAAAATTTTAACATTTTGCGTTTCATGACAATTTTATTTAATCACTGAATGATATTCTTTGTGATTTCTTGTTTCACCCATTAATTATTTCAAAATGTTGAATTTCTAAACATTTGGGATTTTCCTATGTATTTTGTTGTTGATTTCTAATTCAATCCTATCTTGGTCAGAACACGTGACTTGAAACTTTAAATTTGAGACCTTAAATTACTAAGCATATGGACCATTCTAGTAAATGTAGCTTACGTACTTGTAAAGAATATGTATTCTGTTGTTGGGTGGCTGGGTAGCTCTATAAATATCAGTTTACTCTAGGTTACTGATAGTGTTGTTCAAACATTCTCTGTCTTTGCTGATTCTTTTGTTGAACTCATCTATAAATTGCTGGCCCACAGGCTGTCAAATTAAGAATGATTTTTACATTCTTAAAAGGTCACACACACACACACTCACAAAAAGAATATGTTCAAAGCCTGAAATATTTACTCTTTGGTCCTTTGGGAAAAAAGTTGGCAGACTCTTATGTTAAAATATATAATTTGGAGTGTGGAATTATCTGTTTTTTGTTTAATTGGATCAAGTTTTGATTCATGTACTTTGAAGCTTTGTTAAATTCATAACTTGCACATCTTCCTGATGATTTGACTACTTTATCATACTGTCTGTCTTTACCTCTGGTAATATTTTTGTCTTTAAATTTGTATTATGTTATATTAATTGAGGCCTGTAGGCTTCTCATGCTTATGTTTGCATGGCGTATCATTTTCTATCCATTTACTTTCAGTATATCTGTAATTATACCTAATCTACATTTTTGGTAGACAACATGTTATTTGATTTTTAACATGCATTCTAGTAATTTCTTCATTTAGTTGCATCATTCAGTTCTTTAACATTTAATGTAATTATTCTATAGAAAAAAAACCCAAAAACTAAAAACATTTAATGTAATTATTCCAATGATTAGATATGAAGATATCATTTTATTATTTGTTTTCTACTTATCCCTTCCCTTGTTTGGATTATTTGAATACTTTCATAATTTCAATTTAATTTTCCTATTGACTTTTAGCTATATTTCTTTGCATTATAGTGATGGTCCTAGAGATTATGGTACATATAACTTTAGCCTTTTACTGCCCACTTTAATATTTTACCACCTCCTATAAGATATAGAAACCTTACAACACTATGTGTCTATATATACTCATATTTTTGATGCTACAGTTGTTTGCGCTACACCTCTACTTTAAATGGCAAATAAGAGTAAGGGAATGTGACTCACTTATGGTTTCCAGTGATCTTCATTCCTTTCTGAGAATCCAAGTTTCCATCTGCTATCATTTTCTTCAGTCTGAAGACTTTCTTTAGAAACTTTTATAATGATTTCCTTAGTTTATCTTTTATCTGAAAATATTTCTATTTTGCATTAATTCTTTAAGTATAGGTTCACCAGTTATAGAATTCTTGAGTTGTTCAGCCTCTTCTTTGACCACTTGAAAAATGTTGTTTGACTCTCTTCTGGCCACTTTGACTTTTGATGAGACAACCCCACTAACTGAATTGTTTTTCTTTATTTAATGTGTTATTTTTCTCTTTCTGCTTTCAAGATTTGCTCATCCCTTTGACGTGGAAATTTTTTATTATGATGGACTTCATGTTTATTCTGTTAGGTGTTTGTTGATCATCTTGTGTCTTTAAATTTCTGTCTTTCATCAGATGGGGACATTTTCAGTCAGTATTTCCTCAGATACATTACTTTTTCCCCATTACCTTTCTGTTCTTCTGGTACTCTAATTAAATTTATGTTGCATTGTTTTGTATTATTTAACAAGTCAGTCCCTGGTACTCTATTCATGCTTTTGATTTTTTAGCTTTTATTTCTGTTTGTCTTAGTCTGTTTCTGTTGCTTATAACAGAATACCTAAAATGGTGTAATTTTAAAGAAAAGGAATTTATTTTTTTCAGTTATGGAGACTGAGAAATCCAAGGTTGAGGGGCTGTATCTGGTGAGGGCCTTTTTGCTGGTGAGGACTCTGTAGAGTCCCACAGTGGTACAGGGCATCACATGTTGAGAAGGTGAGCTAGGTCAGGTCTGTCTTTTCTTATGAAGCCAGTAATGTCACTCCCGTGATAACTCGTTAATCCCTGAGTGGATTAATCCATTCACGAGGGCAGAGCCAACATGACACAGTCACCTCTTGAAAATTCAACCTTTAGATATGCCATATTGGAGATTAAGTTTCAACATGAGTTTCCGAGGGGACAGATATCCAAACTACGGCACTATTCTTCACATTGTGCTGGGTCGTATTCATTGCTCTGTCTTCAAGTTCACTTATTCTTTCCTCTGACATCTCCATTCAGCTATTACATTTATTCATCTAGGACCTAACTGGGACCCAATAGCAAGCCAAGAATTGATTTTTAAAAGAAGAGTTACTTATTGCAGATAATTTATTTTTTCAATTTTAGAATTTCCATTTGGCTCATTGTTGTTATTTCTATTTCTAAGGTGAGATTTCCTAAAATTTCACTTATTGAGAACATATTTATTGTACCCTCTAAAGATAGTTATCACAGCCACTTCAAAATCATCAATTATTAGTTTTAATATCTGAGTCATCTTGGGGTGATTCACAGGTGATTTTGTTTTCTCTCGAGAATGTGTTCCCTTTTCCTGGTTCTTTTTACTTTGGTCATTTTGGACATTATAACATTTTCTCCAATGCTTGTTTTAATTTTGCAGGCAATTGTCTTGTTTGAACTTGAATTGAAAACTTTATTAGATGGTGGCTCTGTTCTCAGTTTAGGTAGTTTGTCATTAGCTAAACTGCTTTGAGTCTATTCTATGAAGGCAGGTTCCTAAGTCACTCAAAGATGTGGGTAGGCATATTTTGGAATCTCTTCTTGGATTTTTCTGTTCCAAGTTTTTCCCACTCTAAACAACAGTTTTCCCAAATCAGTTTTCTAATTTCCCAGGTCAGAGAAGTTAAGTTTTCTCTCCTGGTGTCTCCACTGCCTCGTGCTATGCCAACAATACTTGTCCCCAAGCTAAAGGCCCTGAAAATGATACCTCCCTTTGTACAACTACCTTCCTGTAAGTATGTGTCTCTACTGCTGTTATGTCTACTTCTGCTCACTCCTGATGATGCCTTCAGTCTGGTGCAACAAAAAACACCCATTTCATTTATAGCAACCTGGATTAGTTCATTTTCAACCAGGATCCAACAGCAAGCCAAGAGCTGGTTTTTAGAAGAAAAGCTGCTTGCTGAAGAGAGTGGAGCTTTGTTGCAAAACTCAGGGGCATTCTCTGTGATTTTCCTATTGGAATTTGCCACAGGAATTTGCCACAGCCTCCCAATAAACTATAGACACAGTGAGGGGAGGGTCTTTTCAATTCACTGAATCATAAAAGCTAACGGGCAAGGTATTTTGCCCTGTAGTCCAAAGGGTTGCTTCATAAATGAGTTAGAACAATACATTCAAATATGGAAGTGTTCTCTTTAAAATTTAATGGGCCAATTAAGCACAATAATTTTTTTAATGGTAGGTGTTCCCAGTGTAGCAAATTGTCTTTAACTTGGGAGGTGATATTTGAACATACCCTAGACAAATTGGCCTCCTCAATTTTTACGGGATTCAGTCTTCATCCTTTGTCATGCATATGTCTTACCAGGGCATCTAAGGTACCGATGATTTTTCTAGCATCAGGTCCCATCTTTGTGATGTCACTAATGCAGCGGACCAACAAAATATCCTTCGCTGGCGGGAGGAGGATGATAGGATCAACGTCTCTGATGATTGAATTTTGCATGGCAGGAGCTATAGAATTGATGTAGTCCTGAGATAAGAACATAAATGTGTACTGATAATCTAGACAAGTGACAAATAGATTCTAGTGTTTTCTGCTTATTGGAATGTGAGAAAAACATTTCTTCTAGGTCAAGAGCTTCTTACTAAATACCTGGTATGTGTTGATTTACTCTGGGAAACATATCCAAAGGAAATAGCAGCTGCCATTGGAGTTAACAAATAGTCACTATGATAATCCACTATATATCGAGGATTTGGTATTGTTTTAATGGAAAACTTTTGAAGAATAAATTAAATTAGAAATAGAATTTTTTTTTTTTTTGGAGTGTGTACCATTCTCTGTTAGGTCGCATGTTGTAATTGGTCCCTGGTGTGTGTATTCTTGGATCTGGCTTTATTTGTTTTTTGTGGAATGAGGAGTGGTAGAGATGGAGAGTAGTATCATCGTATCTCAGTTCTTTGGAGGTGCCATTTACATGGGCTGAGATGAGAAATGTGCCCTCTGGAGTCCTTCCACCAATGGCTCTATGGGCAGTCAGTAAGAGAGTTGGAACTTCCTCACAAGGTAGCTAACTAACACAGATAAACTCATTTCACGGCCTTCAAACAAGTTAAAATCCATAAAATATGAAGAAAAATGAGTAACAGTGCATCAGGGAATTAAGCAGAGATGTTATACAGCCAGGATCCAAAAATTCAGAAGAAATATCCAGTCTGCACTAGCAGAACCCCAAGGGTCCTGCTTAGAATCCAAGACAAAATGTTTTGGAAACTCTAAGCTCTCCTACAACTGATGCAGAACTACCTAACACCCTTTCCCTGTGTTTGCCAGAAGACTTCATTTCTCTTCATGTCTTCCACCTCTGCTGCTCTCTTCTACCTCAGAATTCTTGCATGGGTTCATCTGCTTAACAGAAAGTTGACCTCAGAGGAAACTATTTGCAATAGAGACTGGGAAAGGTAGTTTTCATCTTTCCCGATTTTGATATTACAGCAAGACAAACTAAAAGTGAACAGAAACAGGTGTTGAATGACCCAGTCTACACTATTTACCACAGTTGACTTTCTAGCCCAATCACCTTTCCATCACACTTCCCATCATTTTTAATTGAAAAGTATTTTAAAGTGCTCATGACTTGGGTCATTGATAGAAATCCTTAGTATTAGCCCATGTTGAAGACTGTAATTCTTAATGCACTACATTTTTGTTTCAGACAAAAACAATCTAAGAGAGATGGTACTTTAGTAGGTTCTTGGAAAGTGCAGCCTGATGTAATAAGGCTTTTCCTCCTAATTGTAGCTCTGAGATAGCAGAGTGATAGAACACAAAATCCTTGAGGCGTAAAACCAAAGGAAATCTACAAACCCCACCATCCATCCTTATCTGCCTCTAGTTAATGATTGGAGATTATATACTTGAGTTGGCAGACAGTAGAAAAAAATGAAGATTCATAAACCCAGTTTATTGACAAACTCTTGAGCATTATTAAAGATGAGCAAACAGATTTAAAAAATATCATGGACCCTTGAAAAAGTACCCTAAATCCAGGCAGAGAGAGCACTCTAATGGAATCATAGGGCACATATGAATCTAGAAAAAAATAACAGAAGAATAAAATTCAAAAAGCTCTTTGTAATCATAAATAAAGGAAAATATAGCCTCTATGAAAAAAGAGTAAAATAATAAAGAGGCAAGCAACTGCGATAAATAAAAGAAAGGGAAGAAAAGGGAGATGAATGAAATAGGAAGAACTTCTAGGGTGCTAAAAATTTCATAATTAAAATCCATATATATTCATGTAAAAACCAGAATTGGTTCTACAGAAGATAGTATCAATAAATGTGAAGGATGAACTTGAGAAAAACTTTCCGCACAATACAGAAAAAATAAAGATGGAAAAATTATGAGCGTAGTGAATTCTTATGATTTTATGTTGCCCTGACAACATCCATTTTAAATACGTTTAGCTTTCTCATATCAGAAGCAGGACTCAATCACGCTTGACACACTTTTTAGTTCTACACCTCTCCCCAGTTCGTCAGTATGGTCTATCCAGGCGTCTTCTTACACAGCTGCTTCCTGGTGACCACCTCCCTATGGGACAGCCAGATCCCACCTGCTTGACTGGCCCTGCTGAGCGCTACACCTTGCAGGGACTGTGAGACATGCTGCAGTGACCCTCTCTCAGTCATAGCATGGAACTCATGCTTGTTTCTTTCAAATCTACCAATGAAAACTTCTCTCCAGAAGTGTGTTTGGACACTGTCCTGAACCTCAATAAAGGTGTTGACCCATGGATCCCTCATTCTCTTTCCCTGTCTGATCTCCCTGACCTCAGTGTGCAGCCTCTGGGCGTGCCGTGTGCCCCCCAACCTGTAGGTAATAAAATCTATATTTCTATCTTGTGTTTCTCCTAATTATTGAAGGGGTCTGCTGTGTTTTAAAGATTCTAAATCAAAACAGGCCAGGTGCAGTGGCACACAAGTAGTCTCAGCTACTTGGGAGGCTGAGGCAGGAGGATCGTTTGAGCCCAGGAGGTTGAGGCTGCAGTAAGCCATGATTGCACCACTGCACTCTGGCCTGGGTGACAGAGCAAGACCCTGTTTAAATAAACAAATACAAACAATGAAATAACATAGTACACATATAAAGATGAAAAGGGACCCAACACAGAGATAATTGACTGGAACAGAAACCAGGGTAATTTAACAGAAGCAATAATTAAAGATGTGATGAGGCGGAGGTGGCAGTAGAGAGCAACTTTTCTGAGCTGGGCATACAGATGAAAAGATTTTATCACATGATGCCAAGACAAAGGGACTACAGATATTCTGGCAAAATTTTCTAACTAGAAGAATAAAGCTAGCGTTTATAATCATCTAGGGTGAGATATGGGAGAGGAAGGAGGGAAAAAAGATTGACTTCTCACAAAGGAAAAAGTCAGCCTCATCTGAGACTTCTCAGATGCAATAGTAAATGCTGCTCCGAATTTTGTCCTGTCACTTTTGATTTTTTATTTTTAGAGACAGGGTCTCATTCTGTTGCCCAGGCTGAGTGCAGCTATGTGATCATAGCTCACTGCACCCTCGAACTGCTGGGCTCAAGTGATTCTCCCACCTCAGCCTTCCGAGGAGCTGGACTACAGGCATGCACCGCCATACCTGGCTAATTTCTTTTTTCTTTTTTGAGACAGGGTCTCACTCTGTCACCAAGGCTGCAGTGCAGTGGCATGATCATGGCTCACTGCAGCCTTGACCTTCCAGGCTCAAGTGATCCTCCTACCTCAGCCTCCTGAGTAGCTAGGATCACAGGTATTGCACCACCACACTTGGCTAAAGTTTTAAATTTTTTTAATTTTTTTAATTTTTTTAATTTTTTTTTTTTTTGTAGAGTTAGGGCCTAACTATTTCACCCAGGCTGGTGTCAAACTCCTGGGCTCAAGTGATCCTCCTTGCTCAGACTCCCAAAGTGCTGAGATTACAGGTATGAGCCACTGCACCAAGCCTGATTTTGTCCTCTATAATCACCACCTTTTAATGTGTCAAGACAAAATAAACACATGCTCACACATGGTTCATGCACGTGTTTGTGATATCTATCTGAAGGTAACCCATCTCTTTGAAAGATAGGTCTACATTAATCTCAAAAAGGGGGAGACAAGTAGCAAGAGAAGTATGGCAAATGGGAAAAAAGTTGAACAATTGAAATAAATAAAAACACCCGTATACCTGATTTAGAAAATTCAAATGTCAAACATTTTCTCAAAAAAGAACATGTATATTTAAAAATGATAATATAATAAAATATTTAGAATTTTAATTATACAAATAAAGTCTAGCAGTGGGGACGAAGGGAAGAGTAGATGGAAACAAAATATAATTAAAATATTCTACTGCATAGAGAAGAAAACAAAAATATACTGTTTTTGACTTAACTATGACAATGAAAAAAGGAATAGGTTAAGAAGTATAGATTAAGTACAGTTTTGAAAAGCCTGAAACTGGTTGTTGAAAACAAGATATGATGTATCTATAAATTGATTAATCTGTCAATCATCTATCTTGCCAATCTCTCTATCCATTATGTATGAAAACACTGGTTGTGATAAAAATGAAGGTCGTGTAGTTTATTTGGCTAGAGAACAAAAATAAAAGAAACAGCAAGAAAATTTAAAAACATGAAAGAGCAAGATAAAAAGATGTCTAAATAGTTCAGTTATATATGCTGTTGGTTTAACTACCGTATTAAAAGACAAAGCCTTTCACATTTTATTTTGTATAAATAAACATATCTAAAGCAAAGCTGCCTTTAAAAGAATGAAAGCATAAGTGTGGACACATAAATCATGAAAATGGAAACAAACCAAACTTCAGTATACTAAATAGTAAAAGATAATTCAATGCAAACGGCTTAAAGTGGGAGAACAAGGATTATTTGATAGATATAAGGTACAATTCTTTTTTTAAAAAATTACAATGTAAATAGTTTCACATTGCATATGTTCTTCTGTACTAGCTTATTTTTGCTAAATAGGGTTTTTAGATTTATATCACTTGAAAAGTCTTACTCAAGGTCATTTATTTTTATTGCTGCGTAAAATTCCACTATATAAGTATCCTATAATACTATATTATTTATGAATGTTCTAGCAAAGGTATAAAAATTTATGAGAAATATAAACCTAAAAATTAGTATAAAGGTTTTAATTGGGATGAATGAAGATGGATAGCCCGGGGAGAGATCACAAAGATGAACTAACTGTTCAGTCAGTGTTTTGGTTTTCAAGTTGATTTGGTGGTACACAGGCATCTGTGTGTTATTTTTATAATTTTGTATATTTCTTGTGAAATAAAAATTAAAAACAAAACAATTATTCATTTTGTCGGTATAACATCTATGACACTCTGTGCTAAAACAAATTGAATTAAAGTATGTAAAGCAAAAGATCTTAGCATTTCAACAGGAAATTGACAGAAACATGATAGCATTGGGAAACTTTAAAATAGCTCTCTCAGCATGGTGATACAGAAAACAGAGGATTTGAAAATTTACTAAATTACTAAATTTTAATAAAATACAAATAATTTGCTAAATTATATAAGCTATTCTAATAAATGCATATGAACTTCTATCCTGTACACAAAAATGACTCTCCCGTTGTTCATCGAATATATTTTTTAAATTAATGATATATTAGACAATAAAAAGGCAACATTTTTCCCAAATCAAAAATTACGGAGGCCACATTTTGTGAACTCTACTGTCATTAATTTCTGATTAGTCCATCATTTCATTGTTTAAATGTCGTATTTGACCTAGTAGTTATTAAGCGTTTGTTACTTGTTTTTTATTTCAGCATAGTGTATTCTTTTTTTTCCCTTCAACTTTTATTTCAGATTCAGGGGCTACATATACAGGCTTATTATCGGGGTATATTGTGCGATGCTGAGGTTTGGGGTGTGAATGAGCCTGTCACCTAGGTACTGAGTATATACCCAACAGTTTGTTTTTCAGCCCTTTCTCCTCTCCCTCCTCTAGTAGTCCCCAGTGTCTACTGCTGCCATCTTTATGTCCATGAGTATCCAATGTTTAGCTCCCACTTGTGTGTGAGAAGACATCGTATTTGGTTTGCTGTTCTTGCATTACTTCATTTAGGATAATGTCCAGCTGCATTCATGTTGTTGCAAATGACATGATCTCTTTCCCTTTTTACGGCTGCACAGTATTCTATGGTGTGCATATACCCAGTATGGTGGATTATCTTCGATCACATTTTGGCTAAGCGAGTTTTGAAATGGCGTAAGTCTTTTTCCCTCCAGTGTTTTATTCATTCATTATTGATATTAACTAGTATTTATAGACTCATTTATTATAGACTCAATCACTTTCTACTGTCAAATGGGAAATGAAAAAGACTCACTGATGTTTCTTGGTGTTGTGTATTGATGGTATAATTATTGGAAATTTCCTATACAGGGGACTATTGTCAAGGATCAGAACTTCTTTTATCCTGCTCCTTTGCAGATGGATCACTTTTCGTATTCATTGCTGTTTTTTAGAATAGTTTTCCATTCAGAACAAAGGGTAGATTCAGTTGGGCAGCAAGGAGATTTGTCTAACAGGAGCAAAAAAGGAGATCTGAAAAAGGAAGAAGGGATTATCCAGACTATGATGGCCAGATGGAAAGCAGGGCCGGGCATCAGGCGATGAGGACAGCCCACAAGGAGACAGTTTGTGTCTATGAATGGTACAGTCCTACACTCATGAGGTCGACTTGTAAAACCATTTGAGTGGTTGATTCACACTGAGAGATGAAAACTCATTTTCTTGATTGTTTTGGTTAGGAAGGGTTCTAGAAGAAAATAGTTGACTGAGTTTCTTGAAGGGAGAATGATGAAGAACAGAGAGAGCACTGCAATTATCCTGCTTTGAGACTGCTGAATGTACACGTTTTATTTCAGCCAGGGTTATGTGAAAAGATGAGGCTGTAAAAATAAGGATGAAATAAAAATAGGTGGAGATAAGTGCATTGCATTTCTAATTACCTACTGAGCAGTAGTACATAATGAGAGAATTGATACTAAATGCAACAATGCAATTAGAAATATTTTATTGGGTTTTTGCAAGTAACATTTGATATCTGTTTTTTAGTGATTAAAGAATCATGAATTCCAGCAAGTACACAATTGTACATTTTTGCAATTCATTATCATCGGTATAGGCAGAATGAGTTGCCGTATTATTTACATGGGGCAGAACCAAATGGGTTGATCACAGCCCTCAAGGTCTCCCTGCCCAATAACAGCCATTTTGGACACATTCCAGAAAATGGTTTAACTTTGTAAATAATGCAATCTTTCTACAATTTCCTTTCCCTCTAGGTTTTGTCTCTCGAATAATTTCAGGTGTGATCCTTGGTGTCATTGCACTAAGACCCAGCAAGGGTCTGGTGCTGGACAGGTAACGTTGAACAGAGAAACCGGAATGTTCACCCGCACTGCTGGGCTCTGCAGTTTGCACTGCAGCATCGTTTGGTAAAATAACTTGTGAGAGGAGATAATGTTGTTTGAAAGAGTTCTTTAGATCCAGTTATATATGCATTTTCTTTGGTTTTCTTTAGTGATTGCCATTCTTCCTGTCACGCTGAGAGGAGCACCTGGAGACGCTGATGTCTTCCTTTTCCTTGTGAAAGGAAGGCCACGGGTGGCTCAGGTGGTGCGCCCACTGACACAGTAACGGGAAAGGAAATTCATGGTCTCAGGCCATTGTGACCTTCGACATTTTGACATGGAAGATTTTAAAATACAAACTTAAAAAATTATAATTATGGCAACACTGAGACATTGTTCATCAAGCTTGTGGCTTCTGAAACAGATCCCATAATGTCAAACTAAGTTATGGGTCAGTGTTTTATATGGCACAGTTAAATAGCTTCCATATTTCCATGTAATTTTCTCATTGGAATTAACTTTTATATTTAACACACAGATTTGATTCCTTTAAGGAATATTTTCTGCCATCAAATTTGACAGACTCACTTCTCCTGTTGTGAATTTTTATTTACAGTAATTATATCTCTTGACAAATTTTTATAGATCGAATTTTGCAGTTCTACAATTCAGGATATTGTGATTTATCTGCCAGTTTTAAAGCAACAGAAAATCTTACTGTATGCGGTTTCAGTCAGTGTCAGTTTTACCTCTTTTTAATTATTTTCTGAAGTGAATGCACCATTTTGCCTCACCAGCAACACTGGAATTGTGTAACTAGGAGGATTATGGCTGCCTCTGCTGAGTCCTGCAGGTTGGAAGTGGAGGAAAGCCAGCAGTAACGGGCCTCAGCCAGCTCCCACACAAACTGAAGGGCCGGGTCTCTCTCCCACCACACCCCACACGACAGCCCAAAGTCTGTTTCCAGGAAGAGGGTGAGAAGGACTTGAAAATTTGCCTGAAGCTATCCGCCTCCCAGCTGTGAGAGAAAAGGGCTTGGTTCTTCCCCTGCCTGTGAATTCCTGCCCTCCCTGAGTTCTGGCCAGGAGGTTTCTCACTGGGTTCAAATTGTTACAAAGTTAAGGGAGAGAATTCCTTCTCCCTGTGGAGTTTTACCCCCTGCTCCTCTGCCCACCTTCCCAATGGATCCTTGTGGTGCCAGGCAGGAATGGGCTGCTGGGGACCGAGCGAGCTCCCAGGGCCTTTCTGCTGCTTTGTCCTACCCCTGTATTTCACTGGCTCTCTAACTTGACTCAGCTCCGGGTCAAGTCCAAAACTTCTCCCGCAAACAGACCTTCAGCTTCTCTAGTTGGTGGGGTGTGTTCGGGGGAGGAGGGTCTCCCTTTCCCACCTCTGCACCTGGGGCACTCACAGTATTTGGGGTGTCCTGCAAGGAGCTGTCTGCTTCTTTCAGAGAGCCTGCAGGTCCTCTGAGAATTGCTGATTTGTTCTTGCAGTCCATCTGGAGCTAAAATTCACAATGCAAGCCTCTGCATGCTACTCTGTCCAGAGCTGCAAACTAGTCCTCTCTACCATATTTTTCTAACATGATTTCTGAGTTTTCTCTTCTTTTCAAGGACTCCTTATGCCACACTGATTTTCTTCTGTTTTCTTCTAGAAGTTTTAGAGTTTTAGCTCATACATTTAGAACTATAACACCTTTTTGTATTAATGTTTTATGTATATTGTGAGGCAATGGTTGAGCTTAATTTTTCCTCCCAAACTGTTACCCAATTATTACAGCAAGCATTCTTTAAAAGGACTGTTTTGTTCTCATTGAATTTTCTTGGAATCTTTACCAAAAGCCAACTGACTATGTATGTTTGCATCGGTTTTTGTATACTCTGTTCTGTTCCATTGATGTGTATATTGTGCCAATACTACACTCTTTTGATTAGTTTAGTTTGCTGTAATTTTTTAAAACCAATTGCATAAGTCCTCCAAACTTATTCTTGTTTTTCAATTTGTCTTGGCTATTCTAGGTCACTTCCATAGGTTCTGAGAATAAGAGAATCAGTAGTTTCTGGTATTCTTCCTTGTGTCCTTTGTACGAGAGTGGATGCCTGGGCAAGGTATGCTGCTGAAAGACTGCATAGCCCAGCAGTTTTCTTTCACCTAGATATGGTCATGTGACACATTTCTGGCCAATCAGATGCAAGCATAAGTGTTGCCTTAGGACTTCCAAGAAGGCTCTTTGCGGGAGTAAGGCGGCACCCTTCTGGCTTTTCTTTGTCTTTGTTTGAAATGAAATGTAGAAGTAATGACGGGCTAGAGCTTTTGAAAGACAGATACTTTTAACGATGAGATAATCTATTGAAGATGGAAGCCGGCACTGAAGAGCAGAACAATAGGAACTGGAAGCCCTTGATTATTTTTTGTTTCCTTTTTTAAAACCATAGCGTCACCAGACCAGATTTTTTCTGGATTCTTTTATGTGAAAGGAAAATAAACTTCTATGTTGCTTAATCCTGGTATTTTGCATTGTTCTGTCACATGCAGCCAAACTGACATGGGTTCTAAGATTTACCTTTTCTGTCCACACATCTTAGAGAGAAGGTAATTTTATCCTTGCCTGTTCCAATGCAGTGTAAATGGATCTTTATTCTTCATAGGTTTATTCCCTGATTAATGGGGACAGTTTGAATTAAATTCTCTCTCATTAAAATGAGTACTCTTTCAAATAGTACCTAGATAGTCGTTGTGTATCCATTTCTCCCTAGTCAGCTCTTGTACTTAGGAGAAAGCTGATCCTTAGCTTTGGGGTGTTTCCTTTCGGTTTGTGTCAATTAACATAAAAGATAACTGTGCACCAGCGGCCCGTGACCTAAGCATGAGCTGTTCCTGCAGCCAACATAGAATTAGTAATCTGCAAAAGACATAGTGACGAGACAGCATCTCTTAGCATCTGGGTCAAGAAAACTTGTACTTTATTCCTCAATTGGACTTCCAGGTACGTGAACCAATACATAATTATTTAATCCAGTCTAAGTTGAGTTTTCTGCAATGTAAATATGCCTGCATTGATGAATATATTGTTTTATGGAGCTCTCTAAGAAAGTACAGAAGGAGTTACAGGCAATGGTTGTGCTGTTGGTATCTGGAAGCCATGTTGCTTTGTCTCCCAGGGCTTTTTCTTGGTATTTACTAAAATCCATCATCTGACAGGTTCTCTCAACGGGGAGTGCATCCCAAGAAATTTTTGTCTTCCCTCTCAAACTTGATCTGTTCTGTCCACTGTGAGAGTGAATTCATTACTTTCATGTGAAGTTATTTTAAGTAGATAGCCTTCACATCAAGAAATTTAGTTTGTGGTGTTTACATGCATATTTTTCTGCTTTAGCTTGCTCAAGTTGAAATTCACCTGCAAAAAAAAAATGAGTTCAAGAAGGTTTTGAAAGTGTCTCCCTCAAATTTCAGCTCTTGTACTTGCCATCCAGATTAGGAGGGTGTTATGCACTTGTCAAAAATATGTATGATGTTATTAGAAAGCCAAGTTAGGAGGAAAAAAGCAAATTCTTTTGTTGCTTTTTGCTCTATCCTTTTATTATAGAATCAAATATGTTCATCTGTTTTGCTCCAAGTTCTTATCTGTGTCCTTCTAAATTTAGGGATATTCAGTTTTCAAAATTTACCCAATTTACTTCAGACCACACTACACTGTTCTCTCAAAAATGGAAGATGTGTGAAGGAATATGCTGATGAACATTTTCTCAGTAAGCCTACATGTATACCTAGGGAGAATCAAACTTACTCTAGACAAATTGGGATTATACATAGATATGAATATGTATTCATAATAATTATTCATAACCATTAATATATCACATTTTATTTGCGTTATCTCACTGAAAATTCCTATCAGTATATACAAGGACTGTCATACTTAAATCTATTTTTTAGATGAGAAAATAGGTGCTCTGAGAGGTTAAATAACTTTTCTTAAGGTTAATCAGTTAAGTGATGAAGCTGGAATTTGAATCCAATTATGTCTGACTGCCAAATTGATTCCTTTTTTGCTATGCCATGCTGCCTTTAATTCATAGTGATTGTTACTTCAAAATCAATCTTGCTGCAGTATATATGGACTGGACTAGCTCCGTCATGCTCTTTCAGCTTGCTATTTACCCGTATTACTTTCACTAGGTACTGTCTAGAAGGGGTCCAGTAGAACCAGAAGAGTTTTCTCAGAGAGGAAGCAACATTTTACAACTGAATCTACACTACATATACAGAAGAGTCCAAAGTTGGAAACCTAAGCAATCCAAGAAATCGCTGTCCCTACAGAAGTTAAACAATAGGATACTTTCTCTCCTGCTTTAATAAATGGTTGTTATCTTGCTCTGAAGATAATTGAAGCAGTGGACATCTCATATCCTTTTCTACTTATTGGGCTAGAGTCAGAGTCACCCTGACTCTGACTTATTTTTTAATTGATAAGCTCTTCAAGTCAGAGAGAACTTGGTGCAACTCCAGGCTCTCCTAATTATTTATGGAAATAAATAAATATGGACAAGTCCATTACTAAGTCTGTAAAATCGAGAAAATATGATAAACCATGCATGATTATATTGAGTATTTAATAAAGGATCTTTGGTACCAGGCACTTAGTAGGCTATGGCTGTTGCTATGTCACTCCCATGCTGTCTACTCTTAAAAGGACTCCTTAGGTAGAATTAATTAATTGTGGCTAATAATCTGGGTCAGATTATGGAAAGTGAAACGTCTGGAAGAAGGAGAAAATTGTGGTTGTCTCCAGTGAAATCTATTTTTTGTGACCTCCCCTTGCCAGAAGTACCAAGTGGTAGACACATATGTGTGACATTGTAAAACAGGCAATCAATTCATCTCTTGCTACATCTGATGCATAAAATCAAGTAGAAGCACATAGACCTAAGCACAGATTTAGGGTTGATAAAAAAAAAAAGGCACTTTTATTGAAGTGATTTATGGGCCTTTTGGATAGGAAATGTTAAAGAAAGGGGCAGCTTAAGTCATTTTAATTATTTATGATTTTATTGTACCAGCGGAAGTCTCCGGTTCGCTCTAACTTGGAGATGCTTCTACTAATGCTGAAGGAAAAAATCTCGTGATAATGGAAGACTCAATTCTTGTGTTGTTAACTGAAAACATTACTCACGCTCATCAAAGTAGTTCACGGAAGTCATTTAATGTGGTTGTCTTTTCAGTTGAAAGTATGCTGACTCTGTTGATGGTTTCTGCTAATGCATAGGACACAAATAGCAGGCATGTCTTCATTTGTGAGTCTTTGTCATTATCTGCATTGATGGTTTTCTTAAATTTTAATTTTCCCATTTAGTAGATAAATATTTAGCACTGAACCCCAATACTGTCCCTGGCACTAAAAAGACTTCCTCCATGGAACTCTAATAGACCTCAAAGGTAAGAGCTGCAGCCCCACTAGCTCAGGGTTCAATTAAATAGGTAATCAATCAGAAAGGAATGACTTTGTTCCAGACAGGGATGCTCACACTTGGGTTAATCATAAGAATGAAGATGCCTCTGCGTTCCACACTTTCCTCATCAGCCACACAGGCATAATTATCCTGGTGCTGCCGGCTTTACAAGCAATTTGCGGGAATCAAATGAGTTAATGCACTTGTGATTTCTCTGAGAAGCGGAAGCATCTGAAAGAATGTCATTAATTTTCCTGTCTGGATTTCACTCTTCTCACTTGTTATCAGTTCCCTTGGCTGTGTGGTCCTCAGCACAGACATGCATATGCATATGTGTTTTTGCATGTGAGAAGGTGAGAAAAAAAGGAAGTGATGGGAAGAGGGACCAAGATTTAGGACCTGCAATACTGTACTTAAGAGAGGGACCAAGATTTAGGACCTGCAATACTGTACTTAAACTAATAATAGTTCTTTAACACAAAGGATTTCTTTTGCACACTTCCACTTAGTTTGGTTCTTCTTATCAAGTTGGACAGATGTTTTTCAATGTCTGGGAGGAAGAGTAAGTGGCCTTATAAATGTGGAAGTCTTTGCTGGCCTGGGAATACTCAAGCCAGCTCTATGCAGTAGTTGTAGCCTCCTTTCTTCATTCTTTCTACCAGCTTATGGTTTTTCCTTTCAGTTCTAGCTCATCAGCTTTCAGGTGCATATAATGAATATTTACGACTATTACTACCATTACTGTCAGGGAACCTATATGCTTTATAATTGTGATGACTGCAATTATTAATGAGATAATACCTTGGCTGATGATGATAAACAAAATTTGGTTTTAATCTAAGGGCATTCTAACGCTTTCAAGTCAGGCACAGGTGTAGTGGAAAGAACCCCTGACCTGGAGTAGGTCACCTGGCTCTGTCCCGGTTGTGCCAGTAATTAGATATGTATTCTTGGACGCTCTTTTAACTTCTGTGGGCCTCCAATGTCCCATCTCTAAGATGAAAATGATTTTTACAGCTCTGAAAATTCAGTGAAGCTGTGGAAATGCTATGATTCTATGTAGAGTACGTCAAAACAGTTCATGTTAGTGCCTCCAGGATTCCCAGCCCAAACTGGCAAGTGGCCAGATGTGTCAGCAGTTCCTTTCTGTCCCGCTTGGTGGCTGTTGTGCCCTTGTGTTGTCCAAGGTACCATCGTCTGATCACTGCCTTAGCTGCCCAGGAATCCTGTCCTCCTCTTCCTGCAAACTGCACTGGCTTGTAGATCACACCCTTTCTCTGTGTCTCACCCTGACTCTGTGCCTAGTCCTGTGTTGTGTGCTCTTGGGGCCTCTTTGTTAAGGCAATTCTCTTTGAAATTCAAACCAAAGCATCATTGCTTCAGTTTTTCTTTTTTAAAAAAGGACTTTGCATTTTAAGTCTTTAGATTATCAGACCCAAAGAGTGACTAATGCGAATAATGAAATTTCAGAGATGAGCCTGGGTTAGGGGCAGTAGAAGTGGTGTGGATGACTCTGGATACCATTGAGTGGCACCATGCAGGTTACTGATTGGGTATTTGATAAAAGGTAGAGCTGTGTCAGTCAATGGATCTCCAGTTGAGAAAACGTAGGGAAAAATGGTCATCGTAAAATTGAAATTATATCAGATATAGGCAGAAAAATATACCTTAAGGGAAATAAAAATTTCTTCCCATATGTATTTTTTTACTTTTTAGACTTTCCTGTTTCTAGGAAGATTACTTTGTGAGTTGCATCTTTCGGGATCACTATAAGCAACCTAATGAAATAGGAAAGACAGCCCAAAGGGAGAAGTGACTGTTTACACATGCTGTGGTACACATGAATCTCCATGTACTCACATAGAGTGTAAGGAGCCAGACCAAAATATCTATATAAAACATAACGTGTGTCAGAAACGTACCCAATTCTAGAAAATACAATTCTATCGTGTCGGAAAGCAGATCTGTAGTTGCCTGGGAGAAAAAAGGGTGGGCATTACAAAGGTGGGCATGAGAATATTAGGACAGGTGATGGATGTGTGGTATTCATGATTTGATTGTAAATTTCCTGGTGCACACAATTCAGTACTCATTAAATGTACGATTATTTTAGTTTTTCCTCCCACCCCCATCCCCAGGCAACTACATATCCGCGTACCACAGCATGTGTAAATTGTTGCGCTTATGGCTGTGTAGTTTTCCCTTGCGTGAGGATACAACAATTTGCTTATCCATCTGTTGATGGACATTGTATTAGTTTTTTAGCAAAACTAACAAAATGTCACCGAGTGCTTTAAAAAACAGACGTTTATTTTTCACAGTTCGAGAGGCTAGAAGTCTGAGATTAGCAGGTGTTGGCAGGTTTGGTTTCTCCCGAGGCCGCTCTCCTCGGCTTTCAGACGTCTTTGCATGGTCTTTTCTCTGTGTGTGCATCGCTGATGTCTCTTCGTGTATCCAAATGTCCTCTTCTGGAGGAGGAACCAGCCTAATAGCTTCATTTTAACTTAATCACCCTTTTAAAGGCCCTATTTCCAAATAGGCACATTCTGAGGGATTGGGGTCCAGAGCTTCAATATACACACTTTGGGTAGATACAGTTCAGCCCTTGACAGACATTTGGGTTGTTTCCAGTGTTTGCTTATTACAAATAAAGTTTCTATAATTATATCTGTAAAAGTGTATATGTGGACATATGCTTACATTCCTCTTGCATAAGTATCTAGGAGTGAAATTGCTGCATCTAATGGTAGTTTGTTTATTTATTTATTTGAGACAGAGTCTTGCTCTTGTTGCCCAGGCTGGAGTGCAGTGGCTCTATCTCAGCTCACTGCAACCCCTGCCCCCTGTCCAAGCAATTCTCCTGCCTCAGCCTCCTGAGTATTTGGGATTATAAGTGCCTGCCACCGCACCCGGCTAATATTTGTATTTTTAGTAGAGATGGCGGTCTCACCAGGTTGGCCAGGCTGGTCTCGAACTCCTGACCTCAAGTGATCCACCCACCTCAGCCTCCCAAAGTGCTGGGATTACAGGCATGAGCCACCATGCCCAGCCAGTTTATGTTTTATTTTTATAAAACTGTCAAACCTTTTCAAAACAGTCCTTCCATTTTTGATTTTCATCAACACTGTGTGACCATTCCAGTTATCTTGACAACATTTGGCATTATCGGCCTTTAAAAATGTTAGACCTCCTGGTGTAGTGGTCCCTTCTTTATAGTTCTGCTGTGCACATCTGTGATAACTAATGATGTTGAGCATCTTTGTACATGTTGTGTGCCATATTTATATAATATTTTGATTAAGTATCTGCTAAAATATATATTTTTAATTGGATTTTACCATTTAAAAAGTTATTTGTATATTCTTTGTGTATTCCCAGATAGAAGTACTTAGTCATACTTAGCATATATTTCCCACAGTGTGTGGCTTACCTTTTCATTTTCTAAAGTGTCTTTTGAAGAGAAAGTTTTTTTAGTCTTGATGAAATTTATCAGTCCTTTTCTCTTAAAATTCATGCCTTGTTATTTTGCTTGCCACTCATCGAGGTTCTTGGTTCTGGAAGCTTATAATTTTCATTACATTTGGATAATTTTTAACCATCAGATTTTCAAGTGTGTTTTTATGCTCCATCTGGCACTCCAGTTACAGATATAGCATACCTTTTTACATTGTCCCTTTTTCTCTAGCTCCCTTGTGTTTATTTCTGATCATGTGTATTGCTGCGTTTTCTAATGTATTGCTCTTTCATTATACAATGTCTAATCTGCTGATAGTCCTGTCAAATGTATTTTTCTGCAGATGTTCAACCTGGGCTTTAAAATATCTTTTGTGTCCCTCCTTCACATGTTCATGCCTTCCTACACCTTCTTGAACATACAGAAGAAAGGCATAGTGACTGGAAATGTCCTTGTCTACAAATATTGTTATCGTTATCATTTCTGGGTCTATTTCTATTGGCTAATAATTTTCTTTATTATGGGTTATTTCCTGATGCTTTGCAGAACTGGTAATTTTTGACTGAATGCCCAACATTGTGATTTTATGTTGCCAATTCTGGGAATTTTTTTATTCTTATAAATATATATGAGTTACTTTCTAGAGCACAGTTACGTTCCGTGGAAACAGTCTGATTATTTTACAGTTTGCTCTTAAACTTTCTTAGGCAATAGCAGTACAGCCTGTAATGGAAGACTAATTCGGTGGCACTGCCAAGGTGAGGTCCTTCTAAGTCCTCTTCCTTTCACTCTGTGCACTGTGAGGTCTGTACCAATCTGGCTGTTGGGAGCAAACGGTCCTCCTGGCCACGTGTGAGATCCAGGAATTATTTCATTTTGCCTTTGCAATGCGTCTTCCCCAGGCTGTGGGTAGTGTTCTTTATAGCTGAAAGTTATTGATGCCCTCTATTACTTCATTGTTTTCCAAAGTGGAATTTTGTTTTGTTTTGTTTTTGTTTTATTTTATTCCAAAGTCCTGGGATTACAGGCGTGAGCCACCGCGCCCAGCCATATTATCATTATTTTTTATTTTATTTATTTATTTTTTTGTAGATGGAGTCTTGCTCTGTCGCCCAGGCTGGAATGCAGTAGCGCAATCTCGGCTCACTGCAAGCTCCGCCTCCCGGGTTCACACCATTCTCCTGCCTCAGCCTCCCGAGTAGCTGGGACTACAGGCGCCTGCCACCACGCCCAGCTAATTTGTTGTATTTTTTAGTAGAGATGGGGTTTCACTGCGTTAGCCAGGATGGTCTCAATCTCCTGACCTTGTGATCCACCCACCTTGGCCTCCCAAAGTGCTGGGATTACAGGTGTGAGCCACCACGCCTGGCCCAGATTATTTTTTTAAAAAGCAAGTAGTAGACATCCAACAGGAAAGCAGTTGAAAAATTTCAAAAGTTCCGAACTTTAATCAGAAACTTTTCAACTCTTGAGAGCTCCATGTGGCTCTATGCAATTAAATTTTTTTTTGGTGATTTTTCATATTGTCTATACTAAATTACTGCTTATTTCATCTTTCTCTACTTCCTGGTTGACTCACTAAGTTCCATGAGGAGAGTAACATCAATGCAGAACAGTAAATATGTGTATTATTTGCCCATAGAGAAATCCATACGTGGCTAAAGGAAAGATCTTTCTCTCTATAATCAAGAATAATAGTGCTTTCTTTCTCTTTTTTGAGACACCTTCCTTGAGTCCAAATATTTGTTTTACCCTGTTAAAAAGATAAAATGCTCTTCTTTTTCTTATTTGCACCCTTTTACCTATCCTAAGATATGAAAAGGAAATGAGGTATTCAGTTGGTTTTCTTAATGGAATTGTCCCTTCTCCCAAAATAAACTAAAGTGAAACTCTAGAATCCTGGGGATTCTTTCACATTTGATGTGAATTTTCAACAGGACTTTAGTTCTCCTGTTTGTTTTATTATTGGTTTGACTTTTGTTTTCCTTTGGTAACATGACAGATAGTCTTTTTCCAGCAACTCCATAGTTCATGCCACCTCTTTTCTGCTTTCACACCAGGGATAATAGTGAGCTGAAGAAACTCCAGCCTCTCCAGAATGGTAGGCATGGCAGCTCCTGAATTCTGCCTTATTTCTTAGCACACAGAGCTGTGAAGGAACTTGTTCTTATTCTCAGTAGGGCTGACTGCCAAAGTTTTCCCTGAGTTTGAAAATTTCCTTCATTTTTGGCTTTCAACTCCAAGTTCCCTGGGGGGGCACACAAAATCATAGTTCTTGAAAAGTAGTTTTTCCATTAAAAAAAAAATGGGCTTTTCCAATCATTTTGTACCGAAGTGGATGAATCTGCTGATATTTCTGAGAGAAAAACAAGTACAAAAAGTTCAAAAGTTTGCTCTTTATGAGAAATGTTTTACTAATTTCCCTTTTCCTGCTCTGGGTGACTAGAGTGTTATCAATTGTTATGCTGGGCAGATTTTTCAAAACAACCATCAGGAGCCCTTCCCCATTTTCAAGTAATGTAACTGATCCCAGAAAAAACACTATGTCATATGGAGTCAATAATTCTGTTATAAATCTTGTCAATGAATGAAACAACAGGGTCAAGGATGGAAGATTAAGGACTGTTACTAAAATGACTGATTGAAATCTGGCAGTTGCTAGCACTAAATTTTAAATGAGATTTTGGAAAAAAATTAAATTAATGGGAATAAATGTGGGCACCAAAGATATAGACTCAACGCCCTGTAAAATATGATTCCCTTGGAAATGTTTTCCTCCAGTCAGGTACTCATTTTGAGGAGAGACTTGGCACATGCAGAATTTTGAATATTCAGGCAGGTAAAATAGTGATGCCATATTTATTTCCCTCTTCTACAAATGGAAGGGGCAAGACATCAAAATGTCTTCTTCTGTTATTTTTTCTTTCTGGTCTGATCAAATGTAATAAATTTACCATGGCAGAAATAAATCCATTTTCCTCCTATAGCTAAGAGTCATAATTCTTCATTTATCACAGGACTATACCTTTTCATATGCATCATCAGTTTTTGGTTGTCTATTAAATACTTTTCAGTAAGCACCAGAAGAAAATGTCTTCGTCTAACAGGCTAGTTCTTACTGAATATGTCTATCATGAGCCAGTCAGTCAACAAATACTTCTCAGTTCTGAGATCCTGATAAGGACAAGATATACAGAGTCTCTTTTATTAAGGAACTAGCATTCCAGTTGGGCACAAAAATAAATATTTTTGGTTTTAGATCCTCTACGAAGTGAACTCCATGAGACATGTTGACGTCTTGCTGGTCCCTGTATCTCTTCACCTGGGTTGATACTCAGCACAGAGGAGGAGACCAACAAATATTCTATTTAATAACAAAATAAAACCTTGTTTTTGAAGAGACTCATTATCTGTTCCTATTATGAGTTAAATATGATCTCAAACAACTCTACTAGCCCATTCAAAATGAATTCAGATCTTAGCAGGAGTCAAGCTCCCCTCTCCCCCCATGCACAGAGGCCCTGGAAATCTGCCTACAGGTCAACCCATCACTCAGGATTAGAAGCAGTCTCTCTGAGCCCATCCTGAGACTTGTGACCCTGCCAGCAAGGCTCATGACATTGCCTGGATGTCAGAATACCACCTGGCCCAGGAAGGCCTTGTTTCCCCACTGCCATTTGCAGATCTGCTTTCAGGGAACTGTGTTCCTGGAGTTGGATCAGCCTGGCTAACTACCTACTGTGTGTTGTCATACTGATATTGTTTGGCTGTGCATCCCCACCCAAATCTCATCTTGAATTGTAATCCCCACGTGTGGAGGAAGGGACCTGTTAGGAGGTAATTGGATCATGGGGATGGTTTCCCCCATGCTGTTCTTGTGATAGTGAATGAGTTCTCAGGAGATCTGATGGTTTAAAAGTGTTTGGTAATCTCCCCTCACTCTTGTCTCTCTTGCCACCTTGTGAAGAAGGTGCTTGATTTTCCTTAGCCTTCCACCATGATTGTTAAGTTTCCTGTGGCCTCCCCAGCCATGAGGAACTGTGAGTCAATTAAACTACTTTCCATTAATAAATTACCCAGTCTTGGGTAGTTCTTCATAGCAGTGTGAAAACAGACTAATACAGAAAATTGGAACCCACGTAGTGGGGCATTGCTATAAAGATACCTAAGAATGTGGAAGCAACTTTGGAACTGCATAACCAGCAGATGTCTCCAAGGCATTTTAGAGATCTTTGTGGCAGCCCCTCCCATCAGAGGCCCAGAGGCCTTGGAGGAGAAAATGGTTTTGGGAGCCAGGCCCAGGGCCCCACTGTTCTGTGCAGCCTTGGGGCAAGGCACTCTGCATCCTGGCTACTCTGGCTCCAGCCAGTTCAGTGTGAGAATGGACTAATACACATACCTCCTGGGTACTAAGCTGCTTGTAACCTAGACTCCCCCAGCCCCTGTGTCCCTACAGTTGGGCATCCAGACTGCAGTCCCTCCTGACATTTTCCCAATTCGGTAAACAGGGCCAGCAGGGGCAATGAACAGCAGTTGGATGAGCATGCTGGCTGTCTTCCATATGTCTATCCAGAGCTCCTTCACCCTGCAATGGGCTGCTGTGCCAAGGCTGCCAGGGCTGTCGGAGGCTGGAGGTCTTTGTTGTCCAGCTCCCTCCTCTGGCTCGTTGCTCCTTTCTGGCAGTGATCTTGCTCTGGCTACCTCTGGTTCACAGGTTTCAGTCCCTTTTCTTCTCTCTCTCTCTCTTTCTAGAGCTGCTTCCTCTCACTGACCTCTTAAAGGGTAGTAAGAATGTCCAGTGCTTTTAGTCCCAGGCTTTGCTCTATCCCCTTTGGCTCCTTGTACCTTAGGAAATCATCCCTTCCTCAGGCTCTCCCCACATCACCAAATTGGGCTGTGCCTTTGGATCTTACCAGGGCCCTGGCTGGCACCACGAGGACACTTACATGTCCTCGTCGAGCCCTCAAGGTAAAGCTGATGTGGTCTTGGAAAGCTAGGATGCCAGGGCACTGAGAGCAGCTGGGGCCTGTCTCAGAGCATCCTCCATTGCTGGGCTCCTTTCTGTTAGCACTCCTGCTGGTCTCCCTGACCATCGTTATTCCTGATTGACAAGAGTAACAGACGTGTTCTGCTGCTTCACATTCACCAGCTTTAATCTATCCACAGCAGATAGGCGGCCCAGTGCTTTCTTCCATAGTTGTCAGGAAAGAAGAGCCCACTTCTCCCACCAGTTTCCTCCTCTCCTCCTTTTTTGACTTTTGCACTTTTGGCATGTCTTACCTCATAAAGAAAAATGAATGACGTATTCAAGACAGCATCCAAGTTTCTCATTAGCTCTGTAATGTCACGAATAAGCTGCAATTAACCATAATGATAGTAATAACAGTAAAATAAAATCTTAATTTCCTTGTTATGAGAAATATTTCCTCTTATTGCCTGGCCACAGCATTTCTTTATTTCTATTAACTGTACAAAATGAAAGAAACAAGTTAATAGCTTAGAAACGAGCCTGCCCCAGAGTGGTGATAAATGTTAGAAAACTAATCAAGAATAGCCACCTTTCCACAAGGAGCTGTACTGTGCAAAAAGACAGTTGTCTTCAATTTTTATTGTAATTCCAATGGTCTTTGGAGCAACGGTATTTTAAAAGGATGTTTTGTTTGTTTCCCTGAATGACTGGAAGCTCTGCTTATGGATTCAGAATAACAGTCATGAAACTTATACAAGATTACAAATTCAGTACATTTCCAGTCAGTCTCTCCCAATAGCTCTGACCTACCTTATGTACTTATTCCTAGAGTGAGGACCTCTGCAAGTCCACAGCACCTTCCGGAGCCTGTGACCCGGTCCCTCTGTGTCTGTTCTCACCTAGTGCTGTGCACATCTAAGACCGCAGCGTCCTCGCCAGTGCAGCGCCCTCCAGGGTTCGCCTCAGTTAGCGCGAGATGGGAGCCTCTGTTTCTCACAGTCACACATTTTTTGGAGAAATGGTGCTTTCCTGTTAATTCTTCTGAAGACAGGATATATCTAGAAATAGCTCCTAAGTCAATAAATAGTCCATTGAAGGAGTTTTGTGAATGAGGAGAATATTTTTCTTTAATTCGAGAGCTTTTCCCAGAGGCTTGACTGTTGGAACTGGCCTGGGGTGCGGCCACCCTGCAAGCCTGTCAAATGCTTGGATATTCTATCAACAAACCACGGGTTTAACTCCATCAGGAAGGATCTCATAAGGTTACTAGCAGCTTTGAAACAAGCGACAGCGACTTTTCTGCCAGATGCGCAATTTACAATATGCCTGAGTTATTTGGTGATTTTGGGTACGGCTTGCTGGATAGGGGCAAGTTGTCATTGCCAGAGCCCAGCTCCCAAGTCTGCAGGGCTGTTTCACTCATTCTGGGCTGGAGAAACAAGGAGGCCTCTGTGTGCTTGTTTCTGGTTTATGTATCCGCACCTTGCCTACCTATAAAATGATTTCAGGGGGATTTTCCTCAGAATTAACTGGCAGTCTGTCGTCGTCCTAAAGTTGTTACCATTTGGCATGTGACGTTATGGTAAGGTTCTTGTGGGTGGACTCCAAAGCCACACGCCTTCTCCTTCTGCCATTTGCACAGGAAGCCGTTCCCCCTTGCGGAAAGGGACTTGGGGATGGTGCCTCTGCAGCTACGAGTGTGTCCGAGGGTGGGGTGGAGGGCCTGAGGAGCGGCCTCTCATCTGTGCGCCCCTTCCCCCAGGCACCTGCCAGGTGGCGTAGCATCCTGGCACTCCCGCTGCACATTTACCTTCTGTCTGGCTCCTGGGGGCCACTTCCTGGACAGAGCACATCTTTGCCCACACGAACGCATCCTCTCCCACTCTTGTCGGCAGAAGGCCACCTGAAGCCAGCTCAGATCTGATGCTTTTATGTGCGGAGGCTTGAGCATCTGGAAACGGTAATTTGTGGCTGGGCGCAGTGGCTTATGCCTGTAATCCCAGCACTTTGAGGGGACAAGATGGGAGGATCACTTGAGCCAGTGATTTTGAGACCAGCCTGGGCAAGGTAGCAAGACCCTGTCTCTACTAAAAATGAAAATCTAGCCGGGCGTAGGGGCCGGCTCCTGTAGTCCCTGCAGGTGAGGCGGGAGAATCGCTGGAGCCTGGGAGTTGGAGGCTGCAGTGAGCTGAGATCACAACTGCACTCCAGCCTAGGCGACAGAGGGAGACCCTGTCTCAAATAAATAAAGAAACGGTAACTCTTTTCTTTCTTACCACCCTCCGAATGGTGCTGTACCACAATGGGGACCTTGAAGTAGGTGACCTGCCTCCGCCATGTAGCGGGCAAAGGTAGATGCAGGTTCTGACACAGATCCCTCTGTCTCCCACAGCTTCCTCTGCGGAACTTCATCGCGGGTTCCCCAGGACTGCCCAGGCCTCCCCAGGACTGCACAGGCCTCCCCTGGGCCGGCGGAGCCGCTCTCACCTTCCACACTTCGCCGCCCTCCTGCGCTCAGGCAGCATTCTGGACACGGGATGTACAGTCTGTCTTGATTTCTCACTTTCCTTTGGCCCATGGGCAGCCTCGGCAGGAGGAAGGAGGACAGAGGAGGAACAGATTCCTCTCTGCCCTAGGGCCCAGCGTCCTTTATTGACCTCTGGTTCCCAGGCCTGGTGCCCTCCTTCTCCTCTTTGCCCTCTGTCATTAGCCCTGGGGTCCTGCCCAGCCCCTAGGCTTTCCCCATTCCTCTTCTCCACCTTTGTCAATATCCCCCTCACCAAATCCTACGCCACTCTGTTGGGCTGTGCCCTCTGTTTCCTGCAAGCACTCAAGGCAGACATACAGTCACAGCCTTATCACTCACTTACATGATGTCTTCAGCTCTCACTGAGTATTGATACAGAAATAGCGCATTTGAAAAGGTCTCAACAATCTTTTGGGAAGCTCTAATTAAATGCCTCAGGCGTCACATTAATCAATATTTTTTTTCCAAGGTACCAAGCTACCAAAGTGACCATATCTTCTGTATACAGCACTGAGTGAGGCATTCTTGGTTCAGCCAACTTATAGCCAAAGACATGTTCTACAGATGTATTGTTGGCACATATTGTTTTTTTTTTTTTTTGTCAGAAAAATAGAATTATGCTAACTCATTGTGCTTTAGGCTGGCTTCTGGGCACGGGAGACACTTGACCTATTGCAGGCACCTGATAGCATCTCCTATTATGCTTGCCTCCTATTCTAGCTATTTCATTTTTATTTTGCAACCGGCCTCAAATTATTTTAAGATGAGAGACCTCCCAAAGAAATGGATTAATCCCATCCTGACTGTCTCTTTTTGAGACAGATTCTTTTTCTGCTGAAGACAATAGCTTTTCTCTCTCCTTCAGTTGTGTTAGAGCAAATGCGATCATTGAAATAGGAAGATTAATATTCCTTCATGGTCAGAAAGATTAACGCCTAGCCTTTTAGTTCCCTGCTCAGAATTTTGGGGCTTTGCAGTGAGGTAGAACAATAGACTGATGAAAATGATAATGACTGTCAGCTAAAACAACGCAACTTTGCTTTTTTCTCCGCTGCACGGAGATTAATGGCTTAAACCAAAACTTGATTATGAACCAAATGTATAAGAGTTCTGGACTCTTATTTCAATATGTTTTTTATGAGAAAGTGATGCTTGACTGTTAGTAACTTCTTGCTTCTTTTCCCACCATACCGCATCCCCCAAGCTCCCACAAAATACCAGGGCTGTCCCTCATGTCAGACAGGATTTCAAGTTAACATAAGAGTTGTGATTTTTGGAATGCATTTCTTAGACTCGTTCAAGAGGGTTAAAAAAATCCAGGTATGCATGCCGTTTAGGATATTTAATCTCCTTCCACTGAATCACTATAAAACCAGTGCTTTATAACTTTTAAAATAAATGCTTAGTTTCACATCAAAAAGAAAATATTCCAAATAAATATAATTTGGGTCACAGGACCAACTTAAAATACCAATTATGTTTTTTTTTTAATTTCCCTCCAAATACTGATTGCTGATTCCTACATTCCTAGGGTATGAAGAGGACAGAAATCAAACCTGTCTTTGTTATATAACATGTGGGGCTTAACCCTTACTGAATTATCTTGGAGGCATTTTATAGTTATAGATTTCCTCATGCTGGAATTGAAGAAAACTGGTCGAAGCTTTGGAAGCCCAGGTTCTGCCATGTGAGGTGGAAAATTATTCCATCTTTCTTCCCCTGGATGAGAACCTCATGTAGCATCAATGGTTTCCCAGATTTTTTAGTGGAAAAGCTTTTCTTCAAAGAAATCCTTAAAAAATATATTTGTCAATTAGAAAAACTAACTAATTTAAAAATGCTTATGAAAGCCAAATACATACAACTAATATATTTGGATTTACTATGATTTTAACAGACTTGTGAACCAAGAGTACATCACACTCCCCTACCACACTCCCTCCATCCTGCCTTCTGCTCCTACCACATCATCTGAAAATTTTGGGGGTCTGTGGACCAGAAGATGGATCTCATATTTCCAGTTGTCTGTCGCTTTTGTTGAAGTTACCTATCAAACATATACAACTGGTTTAGTAGGAAAACCATATTAAATAATATGCAGTACATCTACTATGAGAATGAATTGCTGAATGATGTTGTAAGAATAATAAGAAGTGCCTCTACCTAAGTAAAACTACAAAGCAACGTTTTAAGAATGGTAACAACCCGGGACTAACCATACTCTTGTCGTTGCTCCGTCACAGACAAGAACTTAATCAGGAATGTTGTAGCAGGGAACCTTTACATACTATCTCACTTTAATGTTCACAGTGATCCCCTCAGATAATGGTATGGCTTCTTTAAATTGAGGTTCAGAGAATTTGACAGCTTGTTCAAAGTTAAATATCCAGTTAAGAGACAGTTACCAATCTTCCCAGATTTTCCCACTCTAAACTCTGGGCTCTTGGTCTGTTTTCTATAGTGGTCATGAAGACTGAGACTTTTGAGGGAAATTGATTGAAACATCCAGATTGATGAATGGGCTGTGCCTGGATTAACCATTGCGTTGAATTTTGTGGTCTTTCCTTTGAAGGAGGTTACTGACCGGTCACTTGCTGCTACTCACTTTTAAATATAGGGCTTTTATTTTTCTATCAAATAAAGTTACCCAACTGGTAAGGGTCAAACAGTCATCCAAGTTATTCTTGCTGTTACAACTTAAAAGAGAATAAAGAGCTCTCTGTGTTCAACAAAAATACCCTCATGAAAATGGTCGAATGAGGGAGGGTGCCCTGGCAGAATATATATATTTTTAATTTTTTGCAGTGTTATGTCTTTCTTTCTCTAATACTTTAGGTTGTATTTGACATCATAAGTACAAAGGGGAAAACTATATTGAATAATTTTGATTCAGAGATGTGAATTATTTAAAAACTTCGTAAATATGAGTAATAAATTACAACCCTATGTTGATTGAATGACAGGTTTCTTCTTCTGTTGTTTTTGTTTGTTTGTTTGAGACAGAGTCTCACTCTGTTGCCAGGCTGGAGTGCAGTGGCATGATCTTGGCTCACTGCAACCTTTACCTCCTGGGTTTAAGCGATTCTCCTGCCTCAGCCTCCCAAGTAGCTGGAATTACAGGTGCATGCCACCATGCCCAGCTAAGTTTTGTATTTTTAGCAGAGGCAGGGTTTCACCATGTTGGCCAGGCTGGTCTCAAATTCCTGACCTCAAGTGACCCATCCACCTTGGCCTCCCAAAGTGCTAGGATTACAGGCATGAGCCACTGTGCCTGATCTGAATAACAGCTTTCTTAGACACCGTAGTGACTTAAAGCTGGAATGATCAGAACAAAACTTGTATTATTTTCCAATGTGTTTCCCCAGTGACATTAGAGAACACAGAATCAGCAGATATTTTATGAGACTTTCATATCAGAGGTCAAAATCTACATTTCTGATAAGGTTCTTAGCCAGTGAGTGAGAGCAGCTGTTGGAGGGATAATTATACCTCCTGGCCTTAACCCATATAATTTGTGTAGTTTTTCAAAGTGAGGAATATAAACCATTTGTTTCAGATTTAGCTGGGGCACGTAATGAAAATTTAGATTCCTGAGCCCCACCACAGACCTATAGAATCAGAATTTGGTGTTACCGAGTGTTGGAATTCTCAATGACCACCCTAAGTGATTCTTGGCCACCTGAAGCTTGAGAAAAAGATAGTGTGGAAGTTAGGCAGAACTGGTCTCAAATTCTCATAGCTAATAGCTGTATGATCTCTGGAAAGTTTCTTTTTTGTTCTTATTTTTGTTTTGTTTTGTTTAAATTAGGGTCTCGCTATATTGCTCAGGCTGGTCTCGAACTCCTGGCTTCAAGTGATCTTCCTGCCTCAGCAGAAAGCTTCTTGATATCAACTTTGTGGGGTTGATATGAACCACTATGAAAGCCACTAATTCAATGCCTGGTATATCATTAGGATCTAGAAGAAATGAGCTATTACTACTTGAGGGTAAGGTTCAAGACAGTAGAGCAGTGCTTAGCACATTGCAGGCACAGTAAATATTACAGATACTCTCACAGTGTGCAGAAAAGCACTTTTTCTTAAGAGTTTAAACAATAGATAAGACCCTTCCAACAACAGAGGCATGGTGTAGCAACTACAAGGAATAGCACCAAAGGAGGCTCATGTGCATTAGGAACAGCGTGATCTGCACCAAAAGATATTTCTCACTTTGTCATAGGGACTGCTATAGGTTGAATGTGTTCCCTAAAAAGTCATGTGTTGGCAACTTGGTCCCCTGTGCAGCAGTGTTAAGAAGTGGAATCTCTGGGAAGTCATTGGGTCATGGGGACTCTACCCTCATGAAAGGATTAATCCATTCATGAATTCATGGATTCATGAGTTACTAAGGGAATGGGTTAGTTATCACGAGACTGGGTCTGTTATAAAAGCTAGTTTGGCTCATAAGCCCCCTCACCATGTGATGCCCTGTGCTGTCTCAGGACTTGGCAGAGAGTCCCCACCAGCAAGAAGGCCCTCACTAGATGCAGTCCCTCGACCCTGGATATCACAGCCTCCAGAACCATAAGAGAGAAGTTTCTTTTATATTCATAAATTACCTGGTCTTAGGTATTTGGTTATAGCACCAACGACAACAACGATGAAAAAAATTAACTGTGACAGAGACTAATTTATTCATTGAGATTCATTACTGTAGGTACAAAACTATTAACTTCAAATAATGAGATTCAGAAAATATAATTAAGTATAGAGTTTATTGAAACACAAAGCTTGAGGATGGCTACTGGGAACACCAATTCCAAGTGAATGGAGTCAGCATTTCAAAGTGGAGAATCATATAGGCAGAGACACAGAAACTGTAGAATTAAAACATTTTCAATACAGGATCAGTACATATACAGCAAGTAATTTGATTGCTTACAGATTGCTACATCCCAAGGAAGATTACTTGATTACTCTTTGATGAGGGGCAGTGGTCTGAGGAGGTCTTATCTCAGGTGCCTTTTTGTCTTCCTAACTATTTACAGGAAAAAAGTGCAGAAGTTGTAGTTGCATGTCACATGACTCAAGCTACTACATAGCCACATTTCTTTCAAAGCTCAGAATAATTTAAAGTTCCAACAGCTTTAAGTTTGAATTATTTAATTAGACAAAACCTCTTAGGGGGATAAGGCTTCTTGCAGCCCATTAACCCCTAACCTCCATCCTAACTACTTTTCATCTGTGCAGGGAAAGCTCAGTGGCAGGAACTCTGCCGGGTGGGAGAAGACGGGAGGGGAGGACAGAGGCAGCCTGGTCTTTGCCCACTCACATTTTTGTCTGGGCCTCGCTTCATTTCATCTGTTAAATTTGATCTACTCAATAACAAACTGAACAGAGAACCAACAGGCAAACTTAAATAAAATATAAAGCAGAGGATGTAATATAAAGTTAAATTTCAGTCATGAAAAGTTCTTTTTATTTTGGTATGGAGTATTATACATTATAAAGAGAGAGAGCAACACAAAGCACAAATAGGAGAGTTTAACACACCTTTTTCTCAGTCCTTCATGATCAAATATATAATAAGTACCTCTACAGAATATTTGAATGAGATAAGGTTTATCAAGTATCTAAAATACATTTAAATGTACACCTTATAAACAGACACTGAACTGATAACAACTAGTAATATATTATATTACAAACAAACAGAAAATAAGAGTAAAAATTACGTATCTCTGGCTATGAAATAATATTATAAATACCAACTGTAAAAACAAAATAGTAAAATCCCACTCATTTTGAAATTATAAAAACGGCTTAAAAACAACCTTAGGACCAAAAAGGAAGTCAAGTCTGAAATTGCAGAATATTTTGAAAATAATGATAGTAGGAGCATTCCAAATGAAAATTCATGACTTACTGCCAAACCTTATTTCTCAGAGGAAAATCTAATTTAAAATAAAACTTAGCTTGTAAAAAAGTAGTGGAAAACAAACCTAGGAAAAGCAGAAGGGAAAAATTAATAAAGTTGTATATTGTAAGTAAAAAAAAAGATAGAATTGATACATATATTAAGGGCTATACATTTAAGTGAAAAATAAATAATAATTCTAATAAAATTCAATAGATAGCTAAATCAAGAGGTAAGTAGGAAGAGATTAAGAAGGCCAAATTAGAAATGAGAAGAGAAAAAGAACCAGATTTGAGAAAAATAAAATATTTATAAAAGAATACCTCAATCAGTACTAGACAAGATTAAATCTAGGATAAAATGAAAGTATAACCACACAACTGATGAAACTGACAGAGAGAGACCAAAAGATTTACTCATTTTCAAAACTTTTGTAAGAAAGTTTTTCCAAACTTAGAAGAAACAGATGAATTTTTCTGTTACTTTGATTGTTCAAGAGTTTGTTGATTACTCTTAGCACACCTAAATAAAAGCTTTACTAAAACCAGATAAAGGTAGTATACAACAGGAAGACTATAGATCAGTATCACTTATAAATATTGATGGCAGATAAATAAAACATTAAGAAATGGATCTGGCAGTACAATGAAAGAATACATAAGGATAGTAATGGACTATAACTCATTGGTGGTAAAAGGAACTCATGTGTTCATGGAACACAAGGACGGGGCAAGGAAGGAAGAAAAGCAAGAGGGAGGAGCTAAGAAGAGGCAAAAGCTCTTCCCTATAGTAAAATGCCAACCAATAAATATACAAAAGAAATGACAGAGTTTGAAATACTATGTTGCAACCAGCATAGTAATATTTGATACAGGCAAAAATCATTAAGAGATTCTAAAATTTATGGGTAAAATTTAGATAAGAAAAAGATACTTTGTAATCTTGGGTATTGGCCCACCTCTACAGATTACTTATTAATTACAAAAAAGAAAATGTTAATTTAACCTCTTAGGCATCATGGTATCTAGGTTCACATGACCAAAAATGGATAGACTGACATCCGATGTCTCCTGATAGGTGGGATGCGCTGAAAGGACACAGCGTCAATTCTACCGTATTCCTGCTAAAAATGCATAAGCTGAGTCTAATCATTAGGAAACAGAAAGACTAGATTTGAGGGGCAATCTGTAAGCTATTGACCTGTATTACTCAAAATTTCACTGTCATGAAAGAAAAATAAATCCGGAGAAACGTGTCCACATTAAAACAGGCTAAAGGGACAAGACAACTAAATTGAATGCACCAGATTGGGTTGGATCCTGGATCAGAGGAATAAAAGCTGTAAAAAACATTGTGGGGACAATGGCAAAATTTAAATGGAGACTGTCGTTTAAATAATAGCATTGAGTCAATATTAACAATTTCCTAATTTGATAATTGTCCCTGTGATTGTGTAAGAGAATAATCTGGTTTTTAGTACATAGATGTTGAAGCATTTAGAGGAATAGGTTAATGATACCTGCAACTTCCTCTCTAATAGTTTAGTAAATATAACTCTAAGCAGCAGGGAATGAATATAGTAAGAGGTTAACAGTTGATAAATTTAAAGAATATAGAAAAACTCATTTTTATGTGAATTTTATAACTATAAAATTATAAAGTTTTAACTTTAATGTCTTATTTTTCAGAAATAATTTGTTAAAAAATAAAAATTATTAATCATTCTAAGAAGTTGAAGATGGTTCAATATTAGGACTGACTAAAATAATTCACAGTATTAAGGGTTCCAAAGAAGACACTGTATGTTCATCTCTACAGTTTGCAAAGTTACATTTCACAAAAATTTCACAAGTATTTGGCCGGATGCAGTGGCTCACGCCTGTAATCCCAGCACTTTGGGAGGCCGAGATGGGCGGATCACGAGGTCAAGAGATCGAGACCATCCTGGCTAACACGGTGAAACCCCGTCTCTACTAAAAATACAAAAAAATTAGCCGGGCGTGGTGGCGGGCGCCTGTACTGCCAGCTACTCGGGAGGCTGAGACAGGAGAATGGCGTGAACCCAGGAGGCGGAGCTTGCGGTGAGCCGAGATGGCGCCATTGCACTCCAGCCTGGGCGACTGAGCGGGACTTCGTCTCAAAAAAAAAAAAAAATTTCACAAGTATTTTTAATCTAAAAAATAATCACTGTATATTTATATATACATATATATTTATATATACACATAATATTTATTTGGATCAATTGATCCAACAGCTAAAAGTTAGAAATAATCTATGCCCATCAATGGATGAATGCATAAGCAAAATATGATATATCTATACAATGGAATATTACTCAGCCTTATAAAGGAGGTTCTAACATGCTACCACATGGAAGAACCCTGAGTGCATTGCAGGGAGGTAAAATATCTTTTCCTTCTTCCGTTGTGAGTTCTTGCTGGGGGAGCCTTCTAACAGCAGCAACAACTCATTCAGGTTCCTCAGTGTCCCCGCCGAAATCTCACATCGAATTGCAAGTCCCATGTGTCAGGGGAGGGCCCTGGTGGGAGGTGGTTGGATCATGGGGGTGGGTTTCCCCCTTGCTGTTCTTGTGATAGTGAGTGAGTTCTCCCCAAGATCTGATGGTTTAAAAGTGTGGCACTTCCCCCTTCACGCTCTCTCTCTTTTGCTTCGCTGTGATAAGACGTGCTTGCTTCCCTTTTGCCTTCTGGCATGATTCTAAGTTTCCTGAGGCCTCCCCAGCCATGTGGAGCTGTGAATCAATTAAACCTATTTTCTTTATAAATTACCCAGTCTCAGGTAATTCTTTGTAGCAGTGTGAGAACAGACTAACACAGGAGTTAAGACTGCCGCTTTCCTCCAAGTCTAGGAAAGCAGCTCCTGCCTGCAAGTCTTATGACCTGCTTAAGGGGAAAGCCAGAAGGACCTTCCTGCACATGCTGTTTCTCAAATTCCCTCAGCTTAAAAAATTCACTATGTCAAGGTGCCACATTTTGGGGTAGTGGATCCTGAAAACCTTTATTACATTAAGTGAATTAACCTTGTCACAAAAAGAAAAATGCTGTATGATTCCACTCATATGAGGTACTTACCTAGAGTAGATAACTCATCGAGACAGAGAGGAGAATGATGGTTGCCAAGAGGCTAGGGAGAGGGCTGAGTGGGGAGTTAGTGTTTCATGGGTACAGGATTTCAGTTTTGCAAGCTGAGTAGTTCTGGAGATGGATGGCGGTGATGGTTGCACAACAATGTAAATGTATTTAATACCACTCAACTGTACACTGTAGGAGGGGGAAAATGTTTCCTTCCACCCTTTTAGGTTCTCAACTAGGGCCTCTCTAACAAAACACTAATTAACAAGGGAAAAACAAATAGAAGTTTATGAACATGTATACTTCATGAATATGTGGGGAAGACCCAGGGAATGAGTAACCCACAGAGTGACTTAAAATTCAGGCTTACCTGTCATCTTCAGCTAAGAACAAGAAAGAAGTGTGTGAGGAAAGCTGGTTATGGGGAGGTGACTGGGAAAGGTATGGTAAACAAGAGCAAGGCTTGTTCTGCAGATTTCAGTCCTTGCTTTCTCCATTCATAAGAGTCTCTTGCACTTTAGAGTCATTCCTGTCTTCCTGGCACAGAGAGAGACACCCCTACGATAGGAGATCTCTTTATTAAATGTAAATTTACCTAACCAAAGGGTAACTTGTACTCTGTTTTCAGAGCTTCTCCTGTACCTGCAGTTTCTCACGATAATCAGCTCACAATAGTCCTTATGCCAAAGAGGCATGTGTGGAGGTGCCATATTCTGGTCTCCTACAACATTCAGTAATGGTCAAGATGGTAAGTTTTACATTATGTATATTTTACCACAATAAAAACGAAGAATCAAGTGATCCAAAACAATGTCCCTCCTCACCCAAAATCTATTAACTTGAGCAGGAAGATTGATCAGTTTGTGATGTGACTCTGCGGGAATGTAGAGTAGTGTGGGAAATCAGAAACCACATTCATGGGGAAATCTCTTATAAAAGAAAGAACATCCAACTGTGAAAATGAATAAAATTAAAAGCTGTGCAATACCCCAAACACTGTGAACCTTGAGAGAGATGTGACTGTCATCCGAGTCACATAGCGTGAATCATGGAGTTGCAACTTCTGCTTCTTAGAATTTAGATTAGCTCTCCTCCTCATTGTTCTTGTTCTGTAAATGACTAGGACAGACCACAGACCAGACCTCCTTCCCGTCTAATCACTGACCTTTGTTATAGATTGTTTGTTTGTTTGTTTGTTTTTTGAGATGGAGTTTCTCTCTGTTGCACAGTGGCATGATCTTGGCTCACTGCAACCTCCCCTTCCGGGTTCAAGCAGTTCTCCTGCCTCAGCCTCCCAAGTCGATGGGATTATAGGCACACGCCACCACGTCCAGCTAATGTTTTGTATTTTTTTTTTTTTAGTAGAGGTGGGGTTTCACCATGTTGGCCAAGCTGGTCTTGAACTCCTGACCTCAGGTGATCCAACCGCCTTGGTCTCCCAAAGTGCTGGGATTACAGGCGTGAGCCACCGTGGCTGGCTGACCTTTGTTATAGATTAGCTGCCTCTTTTGTTGTCCTGTACCTAACTCAGACCAGATGGTACAAAAGGTCCCATGACTGTTACATCTTCAGTGTGGAATGTTCAATATACCTTTCCCAAAAGAAAAAGACCACCTCAACCAATCAGATCATTGTAACCAGGCATTAAGCCTGGCTTAGAAAGATGTTGAAATTCTGTTAAACTTCCCTAGACCTTGTCTGTATAAATGACTCCAAACTTTGGAACACTGAGTTCTATTCTTTGGAATCTGTGCTTCCCAGGTGGCTGTCCTTAAGCTTTGTGTTCCAATAAATTCTACATTTGATTATATTTTCTGAATATTATTATTTAAGGTTGATGCAGGAAACAGATGGAGGGGCAGAAGTTGATACTCATCTCATTAGATCCAAAGAAGCCAAATGGTGGCCATCACCTGTGACATGAAGAGGGTATATTTTATGGAACTGGACAGCTTTCAGAATCACAAGCAACCTCTTCAAAATGTGATCTACTGAAACGTGCTTGAAAGAGAGAATAGGAGTGAGGCGGGCAAAGGAAGCAGAAGCCATTGTGAACTGCCCTAGAGAAACCTTGGGCATCTTTTTGTTGGGCAAAGTGGTAGAGGCTGAAACGGGGAATAGCATGTAACATTTTATTTGACTGAAATAAACAGCTGTTTGTTTTTTTTTTCTTTCATATGTAAGATAGACAAAAGGTGTTTGACAGATAAGGATTGGGGCAATGTTGGTATGAGTTCAGCTTTTTAGTTTGTTCTTTAAAAGTGGCCATCAAGATGTGGGTGTAAGGTATTTCACAGTGATTTGCATTCATTCTCATTGCTGTCACCATCAAGGCCCAGTTACTCAATATCCAAGTTTGTTTTTGTTGTAATTCAAACAAAATAAATACAAGTAGCAGGGCTTTCCATCCTTCCTGGGAATATTGTGTGGGTGCATCTCAGTGAATGCCAACTGCTTTCAAATAAAATGTGCCATCTGAAGGAGCACAGTTTCCACTCCAGACCTGCATGTACAAGACGCAAAACAAGGCACTAGCTGGCTTAGGGGAGTCATGCCTGAGAGAACGAGTTGTATATAAAACTCTGCTGAGGCTGAAAATAGCACAGATATGAAAGACAGAAGCAAAAGATATCGGGTGTCCTAAAGTGCCAGATGCCCAGGTCACTTAAAAGTGGATGACTCAGAGTCACACAGAGTAGCAGCATGCTGGGATCTTTGAGGAAAGCTGACCAACCACAGAGAAGGAAAGGCAAAGTGATTCCGCAGAGAATTGAACCAAATACAAATTTGCCTTTGTTTTTCATCCCACAGAATTTCCTCTTCACCCATGAGGTTTATAGCTATTTTCACATGACCATCCACTGAAAGGAAAATAAATCTGATCCTGTCCCATCTACTCGAAATGCCTTGTCCTTAGGCCACTCAGCTTGATCCTCGTAATAAAATCACATAGAATGGAATACATTTTAAGGCAAAAATGTGTATGGCTAATTAGGATATTTATGTATTGATAAGATAAAGATAGATGAGATGCTGGGAGAATAAAATAATTATAAATCTTACAACATCATGTCAAAGTATATGGTATATGGTCAAAGTATATGGTATAAAACTACAAAACTGCTAGAAAAAAATTACAAAATTATGAGAGAACTTGCACCTCTTTCAATCATGGGTAGAAAAGGCAGCAAAAAAGTTAATGGGAATTTAGAAGATTTAGGCAACATAATAATGTTGATTTGGTACATGTATAAGCCTGAAACTAACAGATGATATAAAACCTTATGGATGCCACTGAACTGTGAAATGTACACATAAAAATGCTTAACATAGCACATTTTATTATATATATCTATATATTTTATCACTGTAGGGGATAAAAAAATATTTTTTTCTCAGTGATTGCTAGGTTTATGCCTGAGGCCTCCCTAATAACGGAAAGATTAACAAGAGATAAACACACAAATTTGTTTAATAAAAGTTTCATTGGATATAGGAACCTTCACAAGAAAATGAAGATCCAAAGAAACAGGTAAACCTGTATGCTTTTACAGGTTTACAGGGTGGCCGGCGCCTGCCCTCAGAATGTTTGGAAACTAAGAAACATACATAAAATAATTCAAAAAAAATTTAAAAAAAAAGGGAAAAAAGGAAAAAGAAATCACAAGAAATATTAGAAAATATTTAGAAGAAAATGTAAATTCCAAGGGAATATTTGTGAAATATACATAAATCATTCAATAGAGGGAATTTTATAGCCTTAAAATACATGCACGAAGAAATAAATCTTTCCTGGATTTCTTTTATTCCTGCAAAATTCTGGTTCCCTGAACCACTGAAATGGATATAATATGAAGCTAGAGAATGTTTTCCTTTCCCCCCAAATATTTTACTTTTTGCACGTCTTGAGTATTAAACTGCGGTTATTTGTCTTCTTTTAGTTGGAACTAATTCCCTTCCATCTAAAGGAAAACAAAAGTGTTTTTTTAATTAAAAAATTTTAATTTATTTTTCTTCTTTAATGGAGACTAAGTAGAAATCCAAGACAAAAGTTCTTCTATTTCCCTGAGTGGGAAGAAGTTTGCATGCCCGGGTGGGGCCTGGGAAACTGGAAAGACAGACTGAATAACCTTGAGATCACCTGAGGGATTTAGAGAGTTATCTTCATAGGTGTTTACATTTCAAGGAGGTGAAACTGGCCGGTCCCAGCACTTTGGATGGCTGAGGCGGGTGGATCACTTGAGGTCAGGAGTTCGAGACCAGCCTGGCCTACATGGTGAAACCCCTTCTCTACTAAAAATACAAAAAAATCAGCTGGGTGTGGTGGTGCGTGCCTGTAATCCTAGCTACTCGGGTGGCTGAGACAGGAGAATTGCTTGAACGTGGGAGGCGGAGGTTGCAGTGAGCCAAGATTGAGCCACTGAACTCCAGCCTAGGCAACAGGACAGAGCAAGATTGTCTCAAAAAAACAAAAAACAAAACTAAAGGGGTGAAACTGAATTGGAAGCACATTTTATCTTTCCCCTGGAGACATTTATTAACATTCCGAAGGGAGACGAGGAACCTTCTCCCTATACCATAGGGGGTGTGCATATTTTCTGCTTGTATATGTGTGGAAAAATGCATATTTCTGGCATACTCCCAGGCACCTCACCTGCAGTGCAATTCCTTACCTCGCGTAGTGTTGAGTGGATGCTGCTACTGGGTTTTGCTCTCTCTCTCTGGTGCAAGTAGAATAATATCTCATATTGTTCACAATTTCTGACTTAACAACATGTTTTTTTAATGAAGAAATAATAAAAAAATTATTGAGTTAAGAATCAAACTCTAGAATTTAGAAATAAGCCTGGTGCAGTGGTTCATGCTTGTAATCCCAGAGCTTTGGGAGACTGAGGTGGGAGGATTGCTTGAGGCCAGGACTTCAAAACCAGCCTGGGCTACACAGTGAAACCCTGTCTCTACAAACACATTTACAAAATTAGCTGGGTGTGGTGACACTATCTGTATTTCCAGCTACTTAGAAGGCTGAGGTGGAAGGATCACTTGACCCCAGGAGGCCAAGGCTGCAGTAAGCCAGGATCACACCACTGTACTCCAGCAAGACCCTACCTCTAAAAAAAAAAAAAAAAAGAATTTATAAATAGAAGATAGAAGGCCAGGTGCGGTGGCTCACGCCTGTAATCCCAGCACTTTGGGTGGTCAAGGAGGGTGGATCACCTGAGGTCAGGAGTTTGAGACCAGCCTGGCCCAACATGGCGAATCCCCGTCTCTACTAAAATTATAAAAATTACCTGGGCATGGTGGTGGGTGCCTTTAATCCCAGCTACTTGGGAGGCTGAGGCAGGAGAATCACTTGAACCTGGGAGGCCGAGGTCGCAGTGAGCCAAGATCGCTCCATTGCACTCCAGCTTAGGGGACAAGAGCAAAACTCTGTCTCAAAAAAAAAAAAAAAAAAGAATTTAGAACTAGAAAGACAAATTCCGAAGAGTAGGATAGAAAATAATAAAAGCAGAAATTAATGAAATGAAAATGCAAACATAAACTTTTGATAAGGCTGAACTAATGTAAAAAAATAGAAATGCATAAATTTATAATTTAGAAAATAAAAGAAGAGGAAAATATGCAATTCTTTAAAACTGGAATTTAAAAAAAACAATGATTTTCACTTTTAGCAGGATAGGGAATTCATCTGATTGCTATAAAATATGTTAAATAGATATAAATATATAGTTTACATAAAATAAAATTCACATATTTTAGATATAATTCAATGAATTTTGACAACTGTATGTGCCCATGTAACTACCACCCAAACTTTTCCATAACTATGGACACTTCCCTGGGACCCCCTTCTAGTCAAGCCCCTCCTCCTCTGCCCACTTTGAAATGTCTGATTTCTATCACTATATATTTGTTTTCCCTATTCTTAACATTTAGATAAATAGAAACACACAGCCTGTGTTCTTTGGGTCTGGTTTCTTTCACTCAGTATAATATTTTTGAGATTCGTGAAAACACTAGTGCAAAATTTTAACTGCAACAGTGAAAGAGATCTTACCTCACTGACTCCATCTTGCTTCTAACCTCCAAAGCTGTCCTTGTTCATTCCTGGGAGTAGGCTGAACTAACTTTGGGAGGAACCTAGTTTATAGTTTAAAACAAACTTCCTTCTTGCCTGAAGACTAGACTGCTTTTGTAGGACTAACAAATTAGCCAAAAGATGAGAAATTGTGGTTTAGGAGTCATGCAGCTGGAGGCTACAAGATTCTGAGCCTCCCCAAATCTCTGCTGGGGATAACGTTACTATTGTAAAGCCTAAGATCAGTACTTGAGGTAGTCTGCAGATCCTGCACTTGATGGATCAACTGGTACCACCTAGGTAGATAAACTGAATCTTGTGGCCCACACCCAGGAACTGAGCACAACAAGACAGCTTTGACTCCCTATGATTTCATCTCCCACCCAACCAATCAGCACTCCTGACTTACTAACTCCCCCCAACCCACCAAATTATCCTTAAAAACTCTGATCCCTGAATGCTCAGGGAGACTAATTTGAGTAATAATAAAACTCCAGTCTCCAGTACAGCCAGCACTGAGTGAATTACTCTTTCTCTATTGCAATTCTACTGCTTTGACAAATGGGCTCTATCTAGGCAGCTGTCAAGGTGAACCTGTCAGGCAGTTACATTCGTAGGCGTTGCATGCATGAACAGTTCATTTCTTTATATTGTTAGGTAGTTTTTCATTTTTTGAATGTACCACAATTCATTTATTTTTTCTGTTGTTGACCTTTGCGTTGTTTCTAGATTTTGGCTATTTTGAATAAAGTTGCTATGAACATTCACATTAGGGTCTTTTTGTGAGCACATGTTGATTTCACTTAGATAAATTCCTCAAAGTGAAAATGCTGGCCAGGCGTGGTGGCTCACGCCTGTAATCCCAGCACTTTGGGGAGGCCGAGGAGGGCAGATCACAAGGTCAGGAGATGGAGACCAATCTGGCTAACACGGTGAAACCCCATCTCTACTAAAAATACAAAGAATTAGCTGGGTGTAGTGGCGGGCACCTGTAGTCCCAGCTACTCAGGATGCTGAGGCAGGAGAATGGCATGAACCTGGGAGGCAGAGCTTGCAGTGAGCGGAGATCGCCCTACTGCACTCCAGCCTGGGCGACAGACAAAGACTCCGTCTCAAAAAAAAAAAAAAAAAAAAAATGCTGAGTCATAGAGTAGGTGTATATGAAACTTTGTAAGAAATTGCCAAACAATTCTCCAAAAAGGTTGTATAATTTTAATTCCCACCAGGAATGTATAAGAATTCCACATTTTCCACATCTTTATTGACACTTGGTGGTGTCAGTCTTGTACGAATTTTAAACATACTCATGAAGGTATTGTGTTTTTTATTGTGGTTTTAATTTTTATTTCCCTGAAGATTAGTGATATTTATTAGTCGGCCTTCTTTTACTCAGCACAATGCATTTTAGATTGATTCATGCTGTTGCATATTTCAATAGTTTGCTTCTTTTTATTGCTAGCTAGTATTCCATTTTATGGACGTACAGCCAATTGTTTTTCCACTCCCCAGTTCAGGTATATTTGGATTGTTTTCAGTTTGGGGCAGTTATGAATAAAGCTGCTATAAACATTCACATACAAATCTTTATGATCATAAGTTTTCATATTTCTACATAAAAACCTAGGAGTGAAATTGGTAGGTCATATGATGACTGTGTATTTAACTTTATATGAAACAGTGCAACTGCTTTTCATAGCGTCTGTACCATTTTGCATTATTGGTAATGTGTGAAAGGCCTAAATTACTCTGCATCCTCACAAGCACTTTGTTGGGGTTCAGAAAAGAACACCCTAAAGTGAAGTCCTCAGAACCAGCCACACAAGCAAAGTTTCTCTGTGGCCTTCTCCTATCCTTCTGTCTCTCATCCCTCATTCTCCCTTGAGGCAGGCCATAGAAACTAGAATTGCCTTTCTTCAAGGCAGATTATAGTAACCAGAGCCCCTCTCCCTCAGAGCAAGCTGTGAAACCTAGAAATATTATTCTAACCTTTCCCCACCTTTCTGTCTAGGAACTGGCTACAGATAAATTCTCTGACCTTGTCCAGTAGTAGAGCATAAGACCCTCATTATAGAGATGAGAAAAATGAATGTCACATAGACAGGCTAAGAAGAATCCCAACAGACAGGCCTTGCTGTTTTTCCCACTCAGTTTATTGTTAAGATTATCTTTTTTTTTTTTTTTTGTCTAATCACATTTCTGCATGGCTGTCCACTCTTCATCATATCTAAGCATACAAGTGGACGGTTTTCCCTTGGGTATTTGGGTCTTCATTCTGAAGGCTCCTATGTCATGAAGAACTTTGGTTAAATGTTATTTTTTTTCTTCTTAACCTGTCTTTTTTTAAATAGAACTGTCAGCTGTGACCCTTATAATGGGAAGAAAAGATATCAGACCTTTCTGTTATTACAGTTCAATATTGTCATTTTTCTTTTGAATAGCTACTCTGAAAGTTTATACTATCTCATTCTAGTTTTATTTTGCATTCCCTAGTAACTAATGATGTTGAGCATCTATTAATGTACTTATTTTTCATTCATATATCTTCATTGATGAAGTGCCTATTAACATTTTTTATTAGATAATTTCTTACTGAGTTCTGAGATTTATTTATACATTTTTATATTTGGGATCCAATACCTTTGTAAGATATGAAATTTGCAAGGATTTTCTTTCCAGGTTATGTTTTCTCTTTTCATTCTCTTAAAAGTATTGTTAATTTTAAGTGCAATTATTTTTTTCTCTTCTGGCTGGTTTTTAAGGTATTGAATCTAAGAAATTTTTGGCTCACTTAAGGTCACAAAGATTTTCTCATATTTTCTTCTAAAATTTAAAAAATTGACATTTTACAATTAGGCCTATAATTCAAGCTAATTTTTATATGAAGTGTGATATTTATGTAGATCTATTTTAACACCATTTGTAGAACTACTGTTCTTTCACCATTGACTTTCCTTTTCACCTTTGTCAAAAATCAGTTGGCCATAAGGTGTGCATCTATTTTTGGGATTTTTATTTCATTGCCTTGATCATTATTACATTAAACTAAGACTTGAAATGAGATCATATATGTAATTCATCTTTTTTTGCAAAATATTTTTGCTAAACTGTTTTTTTTAACTTTCCATGTAAATTTTAGGATAAATTTGCTGGTATATACAAGAAATTCTGCAAAGGTATTGATTAAGATTGCCATGAATCTGTGGATTAACAGGTGAAAACTGAAAATTTGATCATATTGAGTCTATTCATGGACATGGAGTCTCTCTCAGTTTCTTTAGATCATTTTGATTTCTTCATCAAAGTATTATAGCTTACATAGATTCTATACATATTTTGTTAGGTTTATACCTATTTCATTTTTTGTATGCTAACCTACATAGTATTATGTTTTAACTTCAAATTCCAATTGTTTATTGTTGGCATATATGAAAGTGATAAACATATATTAACCTTATATTTTGCAATCTTGCTATAATTGCTTATTAATACTTATTAGTACTAAGAGTATATTTGTCAATTCTTTGGGATTTTCCACATAGATAATCATATCATATGTAAACAAAGACATTTTATTTCTTATTATCAATGTTTATTCCTTTTATTTTATTTTATTCTCTTGCATTAGCTGGAACTTCAGTGTGTTGTTGAGCATGAATGATAAGGGGAAATTCTTGCAATGTTCCGAATTTTAGGAGGAAAGTATCTCATTTCTAACTATTACATTGTTCAAGTTGAGGAAGTTGCCTTTTACTCCTAGTTTGCTCAAGTTTTTGTCATGAATAAGTGTTAGATTTTTTCAAATTCTTTTTTTCATCAATTGATATGACTATATGATTTATCTTCTTTAGCCTGTTGATGTGGTATGTTACATTAATTGATTCTCAAAGGTTGAACCACTCTTGCACATCTGGAAAAAAATCCAACTTAGTTCAAAGTGTGGATAATTTTTTTAATGCTTTGTTGCATTTAATTTGCTAATATTTTTGGAGGATTTTTGTGTCAATGTTCATGAGAGATATTGGTCTGTAGTTTTCCTTTCCTTTTTTGTAATGTCTTTATCTGATTTTGGTATTAAGGTAATCCTGGCCTTAAGTAATCTGTTAGTAAGTGTTCACTCTACTTCCATTTTCTGGAACAAATTATAAAGAATTGATAGTATTTCTTTTTTAAATATTTGGTAGAAATCACCTGTGAAACCATAGGGGCCTTGTACTTTATTTTTCGAGAGCTAGTTAATTGTTGAATCAGTATATTTTCTAGATATAGGCCTATTCAGATTGTCTATTTCTCTATGTGTGGGTTTTGGTATTTTGAGTCTTATTTTGTTTAGTCTCTGTTATCAAATTTGTGAGTAAAGAGTTGTACACAGTATGCCTTAATTATCCTCTTAATGTCCATGATATCAGTAGAAATGACCCCTCTTTCATTTCTGATATTAGTGATTTGTGGTTTTGTTTGTTTATTTTGGTTGGCTATGTTAGAAGTGAATCAGTTCTCTTCATCTTTCCCAAGAACCAGGTTTTGGATGCATCAATTTTCTCTATTTTCTGCTTTTAATTTTATTAGTTATTTTCTAGCTTTTTCAGTTGTTATTTTATTTTATTTTCCAGCTTTATTGAGGTATAATTGACAATAAAAATGTATATGTTTGTAATATACAATGTGATATTTTTATATAAGTGTACATACTGGATATTACCACAATTAAGTTAACTAACAGATTCATTCCTTCATGTAGCAGTGTTGTTTGTTGTTTTTTGTTTTTTGGTGGTGAGAATTTTTAAGTTCTACACTTTTAGCAAATTTCAAGTATAAAACAAAACGTTATTAGCTACAGTCACTATGCCATACATAAGATCTCCAGAGTTTATTCATCCTGCCTATTGAAACTTTGTATCTTGTGGCAAACATCTCTCTATTGTCCCTACCATTCATTCCCCCCAGCAACCACCACTCTCCTTTCTGCTTCTATGAGTTTGACGAATTTAGATTTCACATATAAAGATCATGCAATATTTGTCTTTCTGTGCCTGGCTTATTTCAATTAGCTCAGTATCCTCCAGGTGCATTAGTATTGTTGCAAATGACAAGATTTGCTTCCTTTTAAAGGATAAATGATACTCATTTGTGTGTGTGTGTGTGTATATATATGTGTGTGTGTGTGTGTCTACATGTCTTTATCCATTCATTCATTGATGGGCACTTAGGTTGATTCTGTATCTTCATTATTGCGAATACTTTTGCAATGTCCAGGGGAGTGCAGATGTCTCTCCAAGATACTTGTTTTATTTCCTTTGGATATATCTCAGAGTGACTTTGCTGGATCACATGGTAATTCTATTTTTAATTTTCTGATGAGCTTCTACTTTTTTTTATAGTAACTGTACCAGTTTACATCACTGTCAACAACATACAAGGATTCCCTTTTCTCCACTTTTCAACACTCATTATCTCCTGTCTTTTTGATAACTACCTTTCTAACAGGTGTGAAGTGATACCACCTTGGGATTTTGGTTTGCATTTTCCTCATGATTAGTGATGCTGAGCTTCTTTTCATGTACCTATTGGACATTTGTATGTCGTCTTTTGAGAAATGTCTATTTAGGTCCATTGCCAATTTATAAATTGAGTTATTTATTTTCTTGCTTGTGAGTTGTTTGAGTTCCTTACATCTTTTTTATATTAACCTCTTATCAGATGTGTGGTTTGCACATTTTTTTCCCATTGCCTCTTCAATCTGTTGATTATTTTCTCTGCTGTGTAGAAGCTTGTCTTCAATAGAATTTCATTTATATATTTTTGCTTTTGTCATGTATGATTTTAGGATTCTATCCAAAAAATTATCAGCCAGACCAATGTCAATAAGCTTTTTCCTATGTTTTTCTTGTAGTTTTACAGTTTCGGGTCTTACTTTTAAGTCATTAATCCAGTTTGAGTTGGTGTTTGTATATGGTGTGAAATAAGGGTCCAATTTCCTTCTTCTGCCTGTGGTTATTCTATATTCCAGCCCTATTTATCAAGGCAATTGTCCTTTCCCCAGTGTGTACTCTTGGTACTTTTGTCAAACATCAATTGATTGTAAATGTGTGAATTTATTTCTGGGCTCTCTATTCTATTCCTCTGGTTTATATGCCTGTTTTTATTCCAGTATTATAGCTTTGTTTTATTTACTATAGCTTTGCAGTATATTTTGAAATCAGGTAGTGTGATGCCTCTGGCTTCGTTCTTTTTACTCAAGATTTCTTTAGCTATTCAGGGTCTTTGTGGTTCTACACAAATTTTAGAATTTTTTTTTCCATTTCTGTGAAAACTGCCATTGGAATTTTGATAAAGATTGCACTGAATCTGTAGTTTGTTTTGAATAGTGTGGACATTTTAATATCAATTCTTCCAATCCATAGACACAAGACATTTTTCCATTTGTTTGTGTATTCTTCAATCTCTTTTATCAAAGTTTTATAGTTTTTATTATACAGAATTTTCATCTCATTGGTTAAATTTATTTCAAAGTATTTTTGGATGCTATTGTAAACAGCATTGTTTTTTAATTTTCTTTTCAAGTAGTTATTTGTTAGTGTATAGAAACATAACTGTTTTTGTATGCTGATTTTATATCCTGAAACTTTATTGAATTTATTAGTTCTAACTAATAAACTAATAAGTTTTTGGTGGCGTATTTAGAGTTTTTTTAATATGTAAGATCATGTCATCTGCAAATAGCAATTTCAGTTCTTCCTTTATTTGGTTACCCCTTATTTCCTTCTCTTGCCTTGTTCCTCTGGCCAGGACTTTTAGAACTATGTTGAATTGAAGTTACAAGAGTGAACATCCTTGTCTTTTTCCTTATCTTAGAGGAAAAGCTTTCAGTTTTTCACTATTGAATATGATATTAGCTGTGGGCTTGTCATTTATGGCCTTTATTATGTTGAGGTACATTTCTTCGACAATTAATGTGTTGAAAGATTTTTTAATATCATAAAAGGATGTTGAATTTTGTCAAATATTTTTTTCTGCATCTATTGAGATGATCATACTGTTTTTGTACTTCATTCTGTTAATGTGTTGTATCACATTTACGAATTTGTGTGTTTAAACTTTCCATCACAGGGATAAAGCCCACTTGATCATGGTGAATGATCCATAAATGTACTTTTGATTTCAGCTTGCTAGTAATTTTTTAAGAGTTCTCCCATCTATGTGCATCAGACATATTGGACTGTAATTCTCTTTTCTTTTAGTGTCCTTATCTGCCTTTTGTATCGGGGTAACGCTGGCCTCATTAAATCAGTTTGTAAGTATTACCTCATCTTTCACTGTTTTGAAAGAGTTTGAGAAGGATTAGTATTAATTCTTTAAATGCTTGTTAGAATTCACCAGTGAAGCAATCAGGTCCTGGACTTTATTTTGTTGGTGGGATTTTATTACTCATTCAATCTCTTTACTTGATATTGATCTCTACATATTTTTTCTTTCTTCATGATTCGGACTTGGTAGGTTGTATGCTTCTAGGAATTTATTCATTTCTTCTAGGTTATCCAATTTGTTAGCATACAATTGTTTGTAGTGGTCTCTAATGATGATTTGTAGTCTGTGGGATCATTTGTAAAATCTTTTCTTTCATTTAAAATTTCATTAATTTGAGTGGTCTTTTATCTTAGTCTAGTAAAGGCTTGTTAATTTTGCCTTTATTTTTTAAAAAATGACTCAGTTTCATTGATCTTTTCTATTGTTTTTCTAGTCTCTATTTCTGCTCTGATCTTTATTGCTTCCTTTCTTCTGCTAACTTTGTGCTTAGTTTATTATTTTTCTAATTTCCTGAGGTATAAATATAGGTTGTTTATTTGTGATCTTTCTTTTTCTTAATTTGGGCATTTGTCTAGCTTCTCTCTTAGAACTGATTTTGCTGTATCCCATAAGTTTAGTATGTTCCCTTTTTTAAAATTTATTTTTTTATTTCAATAGGTTTTTGGGGAACAGGTGATGTTTGGTTACATGAATAAGTTTAGTGATGATTTCTGAGATTTTGGTACTCCCATCACCAAGCAGTGTACAGTGTGCCCAGCGTGTAGTCGTTTAACCCTTACCACCTCTAGCTTTTCCACCGAGTCTCCAGAGTCCATTGTATCATTCTTATGCCTTTGTGTCTGCGTACCTTAGCTCTCACATATGAATGTGAACATAAAATCTTTGTTTTTTTTTTTCATTCCTGTGTCATTTCACTTAGAATAATAGTCTCCATTTCCACCCAGGCTACTGCAAATGCCATTATTTCATTCCTTTTTATGGCCAAGTAGTATTCCATTATACACATACACATACACACACACACACACACACACATCTCACATTTCCTTTATTTCCTTTATACGCTTCTTGACTGAGGCGCGTTTGGACTGGTTCCATATTTTTGTAATTTGAAATTGTGCTGCTATAAACCTGCATGTGCAAGTATAATGTCTTCTTTTCTTCTGGGTAGATACCTAGTAGTGGGATTGCTGGATCAAATGGTAGATATACTTTTAGTTTTTTAAGGAATCTCCACACTCTTTTCCATAGCGGTTGTACTCGTTTACATTCCCACCAACAGTGTAAACGTGTTCCCTTTTCACCACATCCACACCAGCATCTATTTTTTTTTAAATTTTTTGATTATGGCCATTCTTGCAGGAGTAAGGTAGTATCCCATTATGGTTTTGATTTGCATTTCCCTGATGATTAGTGATGCTGAGCATTTTTCTATATGCTTGTTGGTCATTTCTATATCTTCTTTTGAGAATTGTCTATTCATGTCCTTAGCCCATTTTTTGATGGGATTGTTTTTTTCTTGATGACTTGTTTGAGTTCTTTGTAGATTCTGGATATTAGTCCTGTGTCAGATGTTTAGATTGTGAAGATTTTCTCCCACTCTGTGGGTGGTCTGTAAACTCTGCTGATTATTTCTTTTTCTGTGCAGAAGCTTTTTAGTTTAATTATGTCCCATCTATTTATCTTTGTTTTTGTCACATTTGCTTTTGGGTTATTGGTCATGAAGTCTTTGCCTAAACCAATGTCTAGTAGGGTTTCACCAATGTTATGTTCTAGAATTTTTATGGTTTCGGTTCTTATACTTAAGTCCTTGATCCATTTTGAGTTGATTTTAGTATAAGGTGAGAAATGGGGATCCAGTTTTATTTTTCTACATATGGCTTGCCAATTATCCCAGCACCATTTGTTGAATAGAGTGTCCTTTCCCCACTTAAGTTTTTGTTCGCTTCTCAAAGATCAGTTGGCTGTATTTGGCTTTATTTCTGGGTTCTCTATTCCGTTCCATTGATCTATGTGCCTATTTTTTATGACTACCCTTCTGTTTTGGTAACTATGGCCTTATAGTATATTTGAAGTCAGGTAATGAGATGCCTCCAGATTTGTTCTTTTGCTTAGTCTTGCTTTGGTTATGTGGGCTCTTTTTGGGTTTCATATGAATTTTAGGATTGTCTTTTCTAGTTATGTGAAGAGTGATGGTGGTATTTTAATGGGAATTGCATTGAATTTGTAGATTGCGTTTGGCAGTATGGTCATTTTCACAATATTGATTCTACCCATCCATGAGCATGGGATGTGTTTCCATTTGTTTGTGTCATCTATGATTTCCTTCAGCACTGTTTTGTAGTTTTCCTTGTAGAGATCTTTCACCTTGTGGGTAGGTATGTGCCAAAGTATTTTATATTTTTTGGAAGCTATCGTAAAAGTGGTTGAGTTCTTGATTTGATTCTCATCTTGGTCACTGTTGGTGTATAGCAGAGCTACTGATTTGTGTACATTAATTTTGTATCCTGAAACTTTGATGAATTCATGTATCAGTTATAGGAGCTTCTTGGATGAGTCTTTAGGATTTTTCTGGATATACAATCATATCATCAGCAAATAGCGACAGTTTGACTTCCTTTTTACTGATTTGGATGCCTTTATTTCTTTTGTCTGATTGCTCTGGCTAAGACTTCCAGTACTATGTTGAATAAAAGTGGTGAAAGCAGGCATCCTTGTCTTGTTCCAGTTCTCAGGGGGAATGCTTTCAACTTTTCCCCATTCAGTATAACGTTGGCTGTAGGTTTGTCATAAATGGCTTTTATTACATTAAGGTATGTCCCTTCTATGCAGATTTTGTTGAGGGTTTTCATCATAGAGGGATGCTGGATTTTGTCAAATGCTTTTTCTGTATCTAATGAGATGATCATGTAATTTTTGTTTTCAATTCTGCTTAGGTAGTGTATCATATTTATTGACTTACATATGTTAAACCATCCTGCATCCCTGGTATGAAACCCACTTGATCGTGGTAGATTATCTTTTTGATGTACTGTTGGATTCAGTTTGTTAGTATTTTGTTAAGGATTTTTGCATCTTTGTTCATCAAGGATATTGGTCTGTAGTTTTCTGTTTTTGTTATATCATTCACCGGTTTTGGTATTAAGGTAATACTGACTTCATAGAATTATTTAGGGAGGATTCCCTCTTTCTCTACCTTTTGGAATAGTGTCAGTAGGATTGGTACCAATTCTTCTTTGAATGTCTGAAAGAATTCAGCCATGAATCTATCTGGTCCTGGACTTTTTTGGTGGCATTTTTTTTTTTTACGACCATTTCAGTCTCTCTGCTTGTTATTGGTCTGTTCAGAGACTCTATATCTTCCTGGTTTAATCTAGGATGGTTGTATATTTCTAGGAATTTATCCATCTTTTCCAGTTTTTCTAATTTATGCACATAAAGATGTTTATAGTAGACTTGAATAATCTTTTGTATTTCTGTGGTATCAGTAGTGATATCTCCCATTTCATTTCTGATTGGCTTATTTGTATCTTCTCTCTTCTTTTCTTGGTTAATCTTGCCAATGGTCTATCAATTTTATTTATCTTTTCAAAGAACCAGCTTTTTGTTTAATTTATCTTTTGTATATTTTTGTTTCAATTTCATTTAGTTTTGCTCTGATCTTTGTTATTTCTTTTCTTCTACTGGGTTTGGGTTTGGACTGTTCTCATTTCTCCAGTTCCATGAGGCTTCTAATGTCTAATGTCCAACTAGACATTAGATTGTCTAGTTGTGCTCTTTCAGACTTTTTGATGTAGGCATTTAATGCTATGAACTTTCCTCTTAGCACTGCTTTTGCTGTATCTCAGAGGTTTTGATAGGTTGTGTCACTATTATCATTCGGCTCAAAGAATTTGTTAATTTCCATCTTGATTTCATTGTTGACCCAATGATCATTCAGGAGCAGGTTATTTAGTTTCCATGTATTTGCATGGTTTTGAGGGTTCCTTTTGGAGTTGTTTCCAGTTTTATTCTGCTGTGGTCTGAGAGAGTACTTGATATAATTTCGATTTTCTTAAATTTACCGAGACTTTTTTGTGGCCTTTCACATGGTCTATCTTGGAGAATGTTTCATGGCTGATGAACAGAATGTGTATTCTGCAGTTGTTGGGTACAATGTTCTGTAAATATCTGTAAAGTCCATTTATTGTTGGGTATAGTTTAAGTTTGTTGTTTCTTTGTTGACTTTCTGTCTTGATGACCTGTCTACTGCTATCAGTGGAGTATTAAGTTCCCCTGCTATTGTTGTGTTGCTGTTTAATTTCTTAGGTTTAGTAGTATTTGTTTTATAAATTTGGGAGCTCCAGTGTTAGGTGCATATATATTTAGGGTTGTGGTATTTTCCTGTTGCACAAGTCCTTTTATCATTACATAATATCCCTCTTCATCTTTTTAAACTGCTGTTGCCTTAAAGATTGCTTTGCCTGATATAAGAATAGCTACTTCTGCTCACTTTTTGTGTCCATCTTCATGGATTTTTTCACCCCTTTACCTTAAGTTTATGTGAGTCCTTATGTGTTAGGTGAGTCTCCTGAAGACAGCAGAAAGTTCGTTGGTGAATTCTTATCCATTCTGCCATTCTGTGTCTTTTAAGTGGAGCATTTAGGCCATTTACATTCAATGTTAGTATTGAGATGTGAGGTGCTATTCTATTCATTGTGCTATTTGTCGCCTGAATACCTTATTGTTCTTTTTTTCATTGTGTTATTGTTAGATAGGTCCTGTGAGATTTATGCTTTAAGTGGCTCTATTTTGTTGTATTTTGAGGATTGGTTTTAAGATTTAGAGCTCCTCTTAGCAATTGTTGTAGTACTGGCTTGGTACTGGGAAATATTCTCAGCATTTGTTTGTCTGGAAGACTGTGTCTTTCCTTCATTTATGAAGCTTAGTTTCACTGGATACAAAATTCTTCGCTGATAATTGTTTTGTTTAAGGAGGCTAAAAATATGACCCCAATCTCTTCTAGCTTCTAGAGTTTCTGCTGAGAAATCTCATATTACTCTGATACGTTTTCCTTTGTAGGTTATCTGATGCTTTTGCCTCACAGCTCTTAAGATTCTTTCCTTTGTTTTGACTTTAGATAACCTGATGACTATGTGCCTAGGTGATGATCTTTTTGTGATGAATTGTCCAGGTGTTCTTTGAGCTGCTTGTATTTGAATGTGTAGATCTCTAGCAAAGCTAGGGAAGTTTTCCTCAATTATTCCCTCAAATATGTTTTCCAAACTTTTAGATTTCTCTTCTTCCTCAGGAACACCAATTATTCTTAGGTTTGGACATTTAACATAGTCCCAGACTTCTTGGAGATCTTGTTCATTTTTTTTAAATTCTTTTTTCTTTGTCTTTGATGGGTTGGGTTAATTTGAAAGCCTTGTCTTCAAGCTCTGCAATTCTTTCTTCTGCTTGTTTGATTCTATTGCTGAGACTTTGCAGTGCATTTGCACTTCTGTAAGTGTGTTCTTGATTTCCAGAAGTTGTGTTTTTTATTTATGCTATCTATTTAACTGAAGATTTTCCCTGTCATAACTTGTATAATGTTTTTGATTTCTTTAAGTTGGACTTCACCTTTCTCTGGTGCTTCCATGATTAGCCTAATAACTGACCTTTTAAATTCCTTTTCTGGCATTTCAGAGATTTCTTCTTGTTTGGATCCATTACTGATGAGTTGGTGTGATATTTTGGGCAATTCAGAGATTTCTTCTTCTGGTTTGGATCCATTGCTGAGGAGCTGGTGTGATCTTTTGGGGGTGTTAAAGAATCTTGTCTTGTCATATTACTAGAATTGTTTTTCTGTTTCCTTCTCATTTGGGTAGATTATGTTAGAGGGAAGATCTGAGACTCAAAGGCTGCTGTTCAGGGGTGCTCCGTTGATATGGTGTTCTCCCTTTTCCCCTAGAGATGGGGCTTCCTGAGAGTCAAACTGCAGTGATTGTTTTTGTTCTTCTGGGTCTAGCCACCTAATGGAGTTACCAGGTTCTGGGCTGGTACTGGGGAGTGTCTGCAAAGACTCCTGTGATGTGATTCATCTTCAGATCTTTCAGTGGTGGATACCAGCACCTGCTCTGGTGGAGGTAGCAGGGGAGTGAAGTGGAATCTGTTAAGGTCCTTGGTTGTATTTTTGTTTAGTGTGCTGGTTTTGTGTTGGTGGGCCTCCAGCCAGGAGGTGGTGCTTTCAAGAGTGCATCAGCTGCGGTCCTATAGGGAGGATGCAAACTTGCCCTAGGGACACCAGGTTAAGTATTCAGATTTCTCAGGCGGTGGGCAGGGCCATAGAGCTCCCAAGAGATTATGTACTTTGTCTTTGGCAACCAGAGCGGGTAGAGAAAGACAGCCAGGTGGGGGCATGGATAGGTATGTCTGAGCTCAGACTCTCCCTGGGCAGGGCTTGCTGTGGCTGCTGTCGGGGGTGGGGGTGTAGTTCCCATTCCAATGGAGTTATGTTATGTTCCCAGGGGGATTATGGCAGCCTCTGCTGAGTTGTAGGGATCACCAGTGAAGTGGGGGAAAGCTGGCAGTCATAGACTTTATCTTGCTCCCATGTAGCCTGCAGTCCTAATGGCTGATCTCACTCCCACCATGCCCCCACAATAGCCCTGAGTCTATTTCCAGGCAGCCGATGACCTGGGCTGAGAACTTGTCCCAGACCACCAGCCTCTCCACTGAGAAAGCAAGCAGACTCTCAGTTTTTTTGCATCTCAGGGAGCCTGCAGCCACAATCCATTTCCTTCAAAGGGTCTGTAGATTCTCTCAGCTTTCCTGGTATGCTCCTGTGGTAGTTCTTGGAGCAAAAGTTCGTGATGTGAGTCTCCACATGCTGTTCTGTCTGTTTGAGCAGGAGCTGCAAGCTAGTCCTGCCTCCTATCTTCCATCTTTATCCAACTCCTCTACTGTTCCATTTTCATTTGTTTCATGGTAATTTTTGATTTCCTTTTTGATTTTTTTCTTTGTCTTATTGGTTGTTTTGGAGTGTGTCGTTTAATGTACACATATTTGTGAATTTTTTAATTTTTCTCCTGTTATTGATTCTAGTTTCAGATCATTGTGTTCAGAAAAGATACTTGATATAATTTCAATCATCTTAAATTTGTTAAGATTGATTTTTTTCATCTAACACTTGATCTATCCTGAAGAATGTTCCATGTGTACTTGAGAAGAATTTGTACTCTGCTGCTGTTGAATGAAATGTTCTGTATATGACTGTTAGGACCCATTTGATTTAACATATTGTTAAAATCAAATGTTTCCTTATTCATTTTCTGTCTGGTTGGTCTCTCCATTGTTGAAAATTGGGTACTGAAGTCCCTACTATTATTGTATTGTCATTTCTTCCTTCAGCTATGTTAACATTTGTATTATATATTTATATGCTCTAATGTTGGATGTATATATGTTTACAATTTTCATATCCTACTTATGAATTCACCCCATTATTATTAGATAATGACCTTCTTTGTCCCTTGTGACTGTTTTTGACTTAAGGTTTATTTTGTCTACTATAAGCACAGCCACCTCCACTCTCTTTTGTTTACAATTTACATGGAATATTTTTCTCTATCCTTTCACTTTCCTTTTTAAAATATTTATTTAAAAATTATTTTGTAGAGATGGGAGTCTTTCTTTGTTGCCCAGGCTGGTCTCAAACTCCTGAGCTTAAACAATCCCCTGACCTTGGCCCTCCCAAAATGCTGGGATTACAGGCGTGAGCCAACTCACCTGGCCCATTCCATCACTTTCAGCCTATTTGTTCTTAAAGCTCATGTGAGTCTCTTGTAAGCAGCATACAGTTGGATTTTTCTTATTTTTATCAATTCATCCACTCTATGTCTTTTGATTAGTATTTTAATCCATTTACATGTAAAGTAATTATTTTTAAGTCGGGACATACTACTGCCATCTTATTAATTGTTTGTTAATTGCTGACTTTTGTAGTTCCTTTGTTTCTTTCTTCCTCTCTTGCTGCCTTCCTTTGTGATGTGATGATTTTTTGTAGTGGTATGTTTTGATTATTTTCTCTTTATTTTTTGTGTACCTACTATAAGTTTTTTCTTTGTGCTTACCACAAGGTTTACATAAAACATCTTATAATTTAAATAGTCTACTTTAAGCTGATAACAGCTTAACTTTAACTGCATACAAAATCTCTACACTTTGACTTCTCTCACTCCCCACATTTTGTGTTACCAATGTGGCAATATACATCCTTTATACATTGTTTATTCATTAACAAATTATTGTAGCTATAGTTATTTTTAATACTTTTATCTTTTAACTCATACTAGGTTTAAAAGTGATTTACATACCATCATTACAGTCTTAGACTGTTCTGAATTTGACTAATTTCTTAACTTTGCAATGAGTTTTATACTTTCATGTGTTCTTATGTTGTTATTTAGCATCCCTTTATTTCAACTTGAGGAACTCCCTTCACCATTTCTTGTGAGGTGCCCTCATCTCTACTAATTTTCTGCCTGATGGCTCAGTACATTATTGATGGAGCAATGTTAAAATCCCCAATTACAATAGTGGATTTGCATGGGCTTTTCTTTTGAAGTTTCATTTTTTTTTGCCTCAGATATTTTAATATTTTGTTGTTAGGTGCATACACATTAAGGTTTGTTATGTCTTCTTGGAGAATTCATGTCCTTATCATTTTGTAATGTCGCTCTTTATCTCTCATAATGTCTTTCTTCTTGAGTCTTTGAAATTAATATAGCTACCTCAGTTTTTTTTTTTATTGGAGTTAGGCTGGGGTATCTGTATTTATCCCTTTACTTTTAATTTATATATATTATAAATGCATTTCTTGCAGAAACGTAGGTAGGTTTTTTCAGTCCCTTATGAAAATCTCTAATTTTAATAGGTATATTTAGATAATTTATGCTTAAAGTGATTATTAATAAAGTTGTATTAATAGCTACAATGTTTATAACTGTTTTCTACTCATTGTCTTTGTTTTTTTTTTCTTTTTTTAAGCCTTTCTCTTTTTCTGCCTTGGGTGATTTTAATTGAGCATTTTATGACTCCATTATTTTCCACCTTCTACATGTCAATTCACTCTCTCTCTTTCTCTCTCTCTCCTTAGTTTTTGTACTAGTCAGTAGAATTTGCAGTGTAGTCTTAAACTAGTCTAAGTCCACTCTGAAATAACACTGTACCATTTCATGAGTGGTGCTGACACCTTATAACAGATTATACTCAATTCCTCCCTCTTATTGCTTATGACATTACTGTCATTCATTTCATTTGTCCATATGCTATCATCACCCAATATGTTGTTGTTATTATTGTTTTGAATGAACAGCTATTAAACATGAAGAATAAGAAAAATAAAATATTTTATTTTACCTTCATTCTCTGATTCTCTGATGCTCTTTCATTTTTATATAGATTTGAGTTTCTGCCCTATATTATTTTATTTCTTTCTAAGAAACTTCTTTAACATTTTAATCACAGAAGATCTACTGGCAACAAATTCCCTCTAGATTTCTGTTGTTGTTGTTGTTGTCATCTGATAGTCTTTGTACTTCAGTATAGGAGGATAACTTTGCTGGATACAGAATTCAAGGTTTGTGGTATTTTTCTTTCAACATTTCAGAAACAGTAGTCCTCTCTTATCTGTGGTTTCACTTTCCGTGATTTCAGTTATTCGTGGTCAATGGTGATCTGAAAATATTAAATGGAAAATTACAGAAATAAAATAATTCATAAGTTTTAAATTGTACACTATTCTGAGTAGTGTGATGAAATCTTATGTGGTCCTTCTCCATCTCACTTGAGATGTGAATCATCCTTTTGTCCAACCTATCCAATGTATACACTACCTACTCATTAGTCACTTAGTAACCATCTTGGTTATCAGATTGATTGTCATGGTATCAAGGTGCATGTGTTGAAGTAACCCTTATTTCACTTAATATTGGCCTCTTATTGCAAGAGTATTGTGCCTAATTTAGAAATTAAACTTTATCATAGGTATAATAACTTTATCATAAGTATAGAAAAAATATATAATATACATAAGGTTTGGTAGTATTCATGGTTTCAGGCATCCACTGAGGGTCTTGGAACATTTTCCCTGTGGATAATGGGGAACTACTGTAGTTCACTCCAATATTTTTCTTCATGTATTCTCTTCATTGGTTTTTGAAGAGAAGTCCAATGTGATTTTTATCCTTTTTCCTTTATAGGTAATGTAATATTTCCCCGTGGGCTTATTTCAATATTTTCTCATTGTCTGATTTTTTTTGCAGTTTTAATAAAATATGGCTACATATAGATTTCTTGATATTTATCCTTCTTGGTGTTTTCTGACCTTCCTGGATCTGTGATTCAGTGTTTGTCATTGATAGTTGTCATAAATACTTCCATGGTTTCTTCCATTCTTTTCTTTCTTTTTTTTTTTTTTTAATTTTTTTAGTATTTATTGATCATTCTTGGGTGTTTCTCTGAGAGGGGGATTTGGCAGGGTCATAGGACAATAGTGGAGGGAAGGTCAGCAGATAAACATGTGAACAAAGGTCTCTGGTTTTCCTAGGCAGAGGGCCCTGTTGCCTTCCACAGTGTTTGTGTCCCTGGGTACTTGAGATTAGGGAGTGGTGATGACTCTTAACGAGTATGCTGCCTTCAAGCATCTGTTTAATAAAGCACATCTTGCACTGCCCTTAATCCATTTAACCCTTAGTGGACACAGCACATGTTTCAGAGAGCACGGGGTTGGGGGCAAGGTTATAGATTAACAGCATCCCAAGGCAGAAGAATTTTTCTTAGTACAGAACAAAATGGAGTCTCCTATGTCTACTTCTTTCTACACAGACACAGTAACAATCTGATCTCTCTTTCTTTTCCCCACATTTCCCCCTTTTCTATTCGACAAAACCGCCATCGTCATCACGGCCTGTTCTCAATGAGCTGTTGGGTACACCTCCCAGACGGGGTGGCGGCCGGGCAGAGGGGCTCCTCACTTCCCAGACGGGGTGGCCAGGCAGAGGCGCCCCCCACCTCCCGGATGGGGCAGCTGCTGGGCGGAGATGCTCCTCACTTCCCAGACGGGGCGGCTGCTGGGCAGAGGGGCTCTTCACTTCCCAGATGGGGCAGCAGCCGGGCGAAGGGGCTCCTCACTTCTCAGAGGGGGCGGCCAGTCAGAGAGGCTCCTCACCTCCCAGACGGGGTTGTGGCCAGGCAGAGGCGCTCTTCACATCTCAGATGGGGCAGAGGCACTCCCCACATCCCAGATGATGGGTGGCCGGGCAGAGACACTCCTCACTTCCTAGACGGGATGACAGCCGGGAAGAGGTGCTCCTCACTTCCCAGACTGGGTGGCCGGGCAGAGGGGCTCCTCACATTCCAGATGATGGGCGGCCAGGCAGAGACGCTCCTCACTTCCTAGACAGGGTGGCGGCGGGGCAGAGTCTGCAATCTCAGCACTTTGGGAGGCCAAGGCAGGCGGCTGGGAGGTGGAGGTTGTAGCGGGCCATGATCATGCCACTGCACTCCAGCCTGGGCAACATTGAGCACTGAGTGAGCGAGACTCCGTCTGCAATCTCGGCACCTCGGGAGGCCGAGGCTGGCAGATCACTCGCGGTCAGGAGCTGGAGACCAGCCCGGCCAACACGGCAAAACCCTGTCTCCACCAAAAAATACGAAAACCAGTCAGGCGTGGTGGCGCGCGCCTGCAATCCCAGGCACTCGGCAGGCTGAGGCAGGAGAATCAGGCAGGGAGGTTGCAGTGAGCCGAGATGGCGGCAGTACACTCCAGCCTTGGCTGGGCATCAGAGGGAGACCGTGCAGAGGGTAGAGGGAGAGGGAGAGGGAGAGAAAGAGAGAGAGAGACCCTATATATTGTGTCTTACTTTTTAATCTGACTCTGGCATAACATTAGTAAGAGTTAAAGAAAGAGGAAAGAAACACAAAAGGTGGCTTAACAGTCAATGACAGGTTTATTTTGGAGAATAAACCTGAGAGGGGCTTTTGGATGATTTTGATCAGGAGCACTCTCTCTTACAGACTAAGAGTAGAGCTTGGAATGTTTCTTTGTGGGGAAGAAGTTTATGGCAGGGTTGGAGTGTCTCCAGTCAGAGGGGAGGTTATCTTGGGGCTGACATCTCTCCAGCCAGAGGGGAGGTTATCTTGGGGCTGGCATGTCTCTGGTCAGGGAGGGGTTTGGAATATTTCTGGTTGGAGATGTTATTTGTGGTTTATGGTTATGGTGACCTTAGCCATTAGGCTGATGCCCTTTGGATTTAGGCAGTTTTTGATCAAGGTCAACTTTAGAATGGCAGTGCTTATCCTAGATGGTGATGCGCCTGCTTTGTCAATTACAAGACAAAGGAAAAAATATTTAACCCCAAAATATATTTCCTTGCCATACCTTGAAATTGCCCTGCAAAGTCTCTTGTGGGAGAAAATCCACATCCTATAGAGAATCCCCTTTCCCTTTGTTTTCCTTCCTTCCTTTCCAGATCTAGGAGATAATCAACTAAGAGCCAGGCACCCTTTTAGGTCTGATAAGAAACATTTTACAGCCTGCTCTCTCTCTGAAGTCTGCTATCTGAGAGATTCCTCGGCACAGTAAAACTTTGTCTCCACAGTCCTTATCTTAACCTGAACATTCCTTTCCATTGATCCCAGGCCTTCATATAAACTCTGTTGCAGGAAGTCAGGGACACCGAATGGAGGGACCGCTGGAGCTGCGGCAGAGAAACATAAATTGTGAAGATTTCATTTTAATATGGACATCTATCAGTTCCCAAATAATACTTTTATAATTTCTTACACCTGTTTTTACTTTAATCTCTTAATCCTGTTATCTTTGTAAGCTGAGGATGTACGTCACCTCAGGACCACTGTGATAATTGTGTTAACTGTACAAATTGATTGTAAAACATGTGTTTGAATCATATGAAATCAGTGCACCTTGAAAAAGAACAGAATAACAGCAATTTTTAGGGAACAAGGGAAGACAACCATAAGGTCTGACAGCCTGTGGGGTCAGGCAAAGGAGCCAAACTTTTCTTCTTGCAGAGAGCCTATAAATGGACGTGCAAGTAGGAGAGATATTGCTAAATTCCTTTCTAGCAAGGACTATTAATATTAATACCCTGGGAAAGGAATGTGTTCCTGGGGGGGTGTCTATAAATGACCGCTCTGGGAAGGTCTGTCTTGTGCAGTTGAGATAAGGACTGAGATATGCCCTGGTCTCCTGCAGAACCCTCAGGTTTACTAGGGTGGGGAAAAACTCTGCCCTGGTAAATTTTTGGTCAGACTGGTTCTCTGCTCTTGAACCCTGTTTTCTGTTGTTTAAGATGTTTATCAAGACAATACATGCACCATTGAACATAGACCTTTATCAGTGATTCTGCTTTTTCCCTTTGTCCTGTTCCCTCAGAAGCATGTGATCTTTGTTAGACCGTTATTAGTAGTTCTGCTTTTTGCTCTTTGAAGCATGTGATCTTTGTACCTACTCTCTGTTCTTACACCCCCGCCCCTTTTGAAACCCTTAATAAAAACTTGCTGGTCTGAGACTCAGGTGGGCATCATGGTGCTACCAATATGTGACGTCACCCCCGGCACCCCAGCTGTAAAATTCCTCTCTTTATACTGTCTGTCTTTATTTCTCAGCTGGCCGACACTTATGGAAAATAGAAAGAACCTATGTTGAAATATTGGGGGTGGGTTCCCCCAATAAACTAACCAGTTGTTAACCAGAAAATTTAAATTTACCTATAGCCTGGAAGCCCCCACTTTGAGTTGTCCTGCCTTTCTAAACCAAACCAATCTATTTCTTCAGTGGATTTGATTGATGTCTTATGCCTCCCTAAAAGTATATAAAACCAAGCTGTACCCTGACCACCTTGGGCACATGTTCTCGGGACCTCCTGAGGGCTGTGTCATGGGCCATGGTCACTCATATTTGGCTCAGAATAAATCTCTTCAAATATTTTACAGAGTTTGACTCTTTTCGTCGACACCACTAAAGTAGGCTATTTTTAATGGAAAGCCTGCTGTATAGTAATCTTGAATGATAATTCAAAAGTTTTTTTTTTTGAGATGGAGTTTTGCTTTGTCACCCAGGCTGGAGTGCAGTGGCGCGATCTCGACTCACTCCAACCTCTGCCTCCAGGGTTCAAGCCATTCTCCTGCCTCAGCATCCTGAATAGCTGGGACTACAGGTGCCCACCACCACTCCCAGCTAATTTTTTGTGTTTTTTTTAGCAGAGTTGGGGTTTCACCATGTTAGCCAGGATGGTCTTGATCTCCTGACCTCGTGATCCTCCTGCCTTGGGCTCCCAAAGTGCTGGGATTACAGGCATGAGCCACCACGCCTGGCCTCAAATTGGTTGTAATTAAAAATGTCTTGCTGTTCTTATCACAGTAAATATATTTTGACTTTCTTATTTTATTGTTGTTTTCATCAAAGTGACACAAATGGAGTCTTCTACTCCATACTCCATCCTCCTTCTGGATGATGTAAATACAGAAGTACTTACTGAATCCTAAATGTAACACCATAAAGTTATTGTTGTTGTTATTTGTACTGGATATACAGCAGTGAGTGATAAAGAGGAAAGCATTGTAACTCTTTCTTCACAGAACTTAAACCGACTGAGATAATGAACAAGTAAACATATACAGAAATAATTTCAAATTATGGGGAACAATAATAGAAAATTCCTGTGGGTGATGGGGAGGAAGCAACAAATATAGGGTTGTCAGAGAGACTCTCTGAGGAGTTGAGACATTCAAGAATGAGACTGGATGAGTTTTAGCTCTCATTGGAAAGGTGGTTATGGCTTTCTCTGCTGCGTGCCTCATATCTGGTGTTATTTCGTATGCTGCATGGCTTTACATTTTGGCGTAAGTGGTAATTTCTCAAAATCTCGGTCTTCACTTTTGTAATAATAGGACTAATAACTAATAACTCACATATGATATGGTTGTATTAGGATAAAATATAATGTACAAAAAGGACTTGCCATATGGGATACATGAAAACAATAGGTGTTATTAATGTTGTTTTCATATTAGATACATCTGTTCCTTTTTCTGTTTAACCACATAATATTTAAAATATTTGCCCAGACATATGAGTAAATTGGCATCATATGAAATCACTCTCTAGTATCTATGCAGGCCTCCCGTAAGTCATTTTATGAATATCTTTTTACTACTTGAATTTTCTTCTCTAAATTCACTAATTACCTTTGATTTTTGTTTTACTCCACTCTTGTTAGGTAAGAATCTATGTCAGTCTTCTGTTTTTATTTCTTTTTCTTTAAATAAAAAACCAGTAAGCAAACCCAAAACTCCAACCCACAAAAAATCACCACTAAACAATTGATGGGATTCAGGTGCAGATGTATATAGTGCTGGTGCTAAGGGCTCTTTAACCTTAAAGAAGAAGAGAGTTTTTTAAACTTACCGGGTTTCCATAATAGGTTTTTTTCAGGAAAATGGCAAAATTAATGAATTGGTGAACATTGACTGTAATCTAAATCATGTTTATATTGTAGTCTCTCTGTATCTCAAATTTGAAAAGTAATGCTTGCCATTTGAAGGGTTATTTACAGACTTTATTTCATGTATACAAAATGTATAGGTAAGGAAAACTCTAATGCAATGTGGTTGTAATATAAAAATAATTTTAACCTGAATTTTTTAATCATTGGTTTTAGAAATTTGATTATAACATGTGTAGGTCTCATATTTGGGTTTCCATTGAGCTTCTTGGATCTGTGGGCGTATAGGTTTGAGACAATCTGGAAAATTTTAAACCATTATTTTTTCAAATATTTTTTCTCTGAGCTCCTCCACAAGAATTCAAATTACATGTATAGTAGGACCTCTGAAGTTATTCCATAGCTCTATGATGCTTTATAGATTTATTCTTCAGTGTTTTTTCCTTCTGTGTTTCAACATTTTGGCAGGTTTTCTTGCTATTTATTGTTTTAAATGTATTTACATTTACTAATCTTTTCTTCTGCATTGTCTATTCTGCTGTTTATCCTATTCAGTATATTTTTCATCCCAGACATTGTGTTTTTACCAGAATTTCAATTGGGAATATTGTATATCTTCTATGTTCCTACTTAACATCCTCAATATTTCTTCTACCTTCTTTAACATATGGAATATAGATATAAAATTGTTTTCCAGACTTTTACTGTGTTGAAATACCCATCACATAAAATTTACTGTCTTAACCATTTTTAAGTGTACAGTTCAATGGTGTTAAATACATATATAATGTTGTGCAACCATCACCATCATCCAACTCCATAAATCTTTTCATCTTATAAAACTGAAACTCTATACCCATTAAACAATAACTCCCATTCCCCAACCCTCCAGTCCCTGACAACCACCATTCTACTGCCTGTCTAATATAATAACTTTTTAATGTGCTAGTCTCTTAATTCTATCATTTCTTGGTCTGTTTCTATTAATTGATTGCTCTATTCATTATGGATTACATTTTCTGCTTCTTTGCATGCCTGGAAATATTTGACTGAGATCCCAGAAATTGTGAAATTCATCTTGTTGGACATTGGATAGTCTTATATTTCTATAAATATCCTTGAGCTTTGTTTTAGAAACAATTAGATATTTTCAAGGCTCCCTTTTGAGCTTTGTGAGTCAAGTATCCTTCTGAGTGTTCCACCTGATGCTCCATGAATTGTGAAGTTTTACACCCTGGCTGGTGGGAGCATGAGCCATTCCTAGGCCTGTGTGAGTATCAGGGATTGTTCCTTCTGCTCTTTGGGGTGCTGTTTTCCCCAGCTGTCAGTGGTTTCCTCACTTGGCTCCTTTTGAGGTGTTGCTGCCTGGAAATTGTCTCTAGGAAGTCAGCTGGGGCAAGTGTAGGGCTCACCTCGTTCATTTTACATCACTCAGTGCCTTGTATCTAATACATAAAAAACATTTTTCATTTATTTATCCAGTTTTTTAGTTGTTCCAGGTGGGAGAATGAATTTGGCCTTTGGCTGAAGGTAAAAGTAGAAGTAGAAGAGGAGAAAAAAATTTTAAGGAAATTTGTGTGCAATAATTTAAGTTCAGAGAAAGAGCTAAAGAGCTTACATAATCCCCCACCCTCCTGAGAGCATACTATAATTTTATCTATTTTACGTGATAAACTCTTAAAAAGGAAAATAGTCAATATTTTACTGAATATGAATGACAGCATTTTAGTAAAGGAAAATGAAACTCCTCTTAAGATTAAAGACATTTTAAAGTTATAGTTCTTTATTAACATTAGAAAAAAATCTGTAAGAAAAAAAATTTTAGATTCATTGTGGCTGACTAGGTGGTTTTAATTTTATAATACTCAGTTTTTTTTAATTTAGGGAATTATTTTTTAATACTTATTAAATGAATAAATTTTTCTTGGTGTTGTTTAGAGATCATCTAAGGAAAATTTATACATTTGCATGGAATGACTCTTAAACAAAAGGAATTTTCTTGAGATGGTAAAAGGAGCAGCCCTCTAAAAGTAGAGAAACAAGTTTATTAGAAATAAAATGATTTCTCAAACTGATAAAACTTCTCAGAGACAATGGTAAATTGCTTCAATCTTCTGTCTTGTAACTAGGAGAATACATTTTAATCCTGACCTTACCCAAATTTCTGAGCATTTAATATAAGCAAAATTAAATATTTAGAAATAATATGTGCCTGCCATACAGTCTATTCAGATTGAACAGAAGTAGTTTTGGTCAATTAATATGTTTATATTTCAATTAAACATTTTTTTTAAATTTAATTAAATGTTTTAAGCTTTTTGTTTATTACATAAACATGTTTTATTTTAAATTGTTTAAACAATTTGTGATGTTGGACACAATCTCAGGTAACTAGGACCTGTTTCAGTGCTGAAATCAATATGCTTTACAGTTTGGAATATTTCAAAGAGCTTTAAATATGTACAGGTACATTAAGATTTACCTCTTTGCTTCTGTATATTAGCTTCTGGATCTGAATGAACCAAATGATTAATTTATTGCAAAGAGATAAAAATGTATTCTTCAGCAATTAAGAGTCACATTTTAAAATAAATATTTTTCTACTTTTATTTTGTGGAATTCATTTCAAAGTGTTCCAAAACTCCTTTCAATAAATTTTATTCACTAGCTACTAAATGGAGCAATACCAAGGAAATTTCTCCTATGTTCCAACCTGCCGTGATTTCTTATAAAACTTATTACTGTTTGTTCTTTTTTGAGGGAGAGGTGGCTTAGATATAATATTTACCTCCCAGTTGTAGCATGAAAATTGCAAGAAAATTTCAGTAAGCAGTCTCCATTACACGTGGAAATAAGTAAAGTTCTATTTTTTAGCATGGAATCATTAAAAGCATTTTCATGCTCTAAACATTCTCAATGGTGCCGACTGAAGCACCACAGATAGGAAACAAAATGTATTGATCCTGTCAAGATGAGTCCTACAATTATATATTTAGGGCTGGGTAGTTGGTGTGGGTGTGTCTGTGGACCCAGTGAACCTACTGTGAGCTGGACCTGATACTTCCAATTATGATGTGACCCTTATATATGTCTACTCTGCAAGAGGGGCCATGATGTGCTTTGGGTCTTTGTCTGTCGATGCAACTCAGATACCATGTCCAGCAACCCTCAGAAGATGTGTGCATTACCATCACTTACCCACCTGTAAGATCCACTCCCCTTGAGGAAACACTCTCACCAGCAAGTCCTATTGATGCTCTCCCAAATCCTGAAGGTTCGTGTTAGTTGGATTATGTGGCCTCTTTGGCATTTTATCCCTTTCTTTCCTTCACAGGCCTTCACATGCCCAGTTGGTCTTCTGGAATTTGATCCTGGTTAATGGTCTGGTTGTCAAGAGAGAAGGTAGGGGCTTATCCTGAGAGGATGCAAGAATGTCTCATAAAGAATCTGCCTCAACTGAGGCCTCTGCATGATCATCAAACTACTGGGACAGTCACCTTCTGACCAGGGGAAGTGGGCCACTTCTGCAGGGCCAGTGGGTCCACGAGAATCTGGGAATTTGAAATTCTGAATTGTATCCATATGTTATTCCCATCCTAACTTTCACTGTTTTTTCCTTCATTACTGGAGCTCTGACCTTGGTGTAGGGGACTTGCCAGGCTGATAATTCAACCTTCTCTGAAGCTCTGCTATTTTTATGATGAAGCCCTGAACTTGGTTATTTACTCTATCCTTCAGCTGCAGGGTTTTATTTAATACTACCAAGGGGCCTGTCTGTTTTTGTAAAGTATTTACTAATTTCCCATCTCTATTTTTATTTCTCTTCAAAGAATCGATGGTACTCCCCACATTAGTGAAATCCCATAGTCCTTACACTCAGCCTTTCCTTCAGTCCTCTCAAGGGCAAGACATTGCATCAGCCAGTGTATCCCCTTTCACTGGTACACCATCTCATTTCAACACCGGTGAAAAAATGAACAGTCATCCCACTAGAGCATGCCAGAGGCTATGCAGACTCTGCCAACCACCAGAGATGGTGTCCTCAAAGTCAGCCTGCCAGTGAGTGACCTGCCCTTAAATCCCATCATAGAATCTGTTCTCTAGGTCACCTCCTAGCACCAACTCTCTTAGACTGAATCTGACTGCAGTGTACGTTACAATAGAGCTTAAAACAAAATATAGCCACGCATTGCTTCACAATGGGGACACCTTCTGAGAAATGCATAGTTAGGTGATTTCATGGTCATGTGAACATCACAGAGTGCACTTATACACACCTAGATGGTACAGCCTTCCACACACTTAGGCGATATTACTCCAGGCTACAAACCTGCACTGCATGTTACTCTACCAGTTACTGCAGGCAATTAGAACACAAGTGTAAGTATTTAAATGTGGTATTATAATCTTATGGAACCACCATCATATATGTGTTTTCTCATTGACCAAAACATCATTATGTGACATATGGTTGTGTGTCATTTGCAGAATGCTACACCTTTAACAGTCTCCCTGCATTGATCAGATCTTCACTTTGAGTCTGGCACTAGTGAAGCAAGTCTGTGTTTCTTTTCACTGGGATACTTAGTATTGAATGCTTTCTTACCTGAATTAGAAGAGTTTACCTGCATATAACTAGCTTCATTAAATGTTACAGGATACCAAGGGGGAGTTTTTTTGGGTTTTGCTATTTCATAGTGTCTTTCCCTGAAATCAAAGAGTGCTTATATTGATATTTGCAAAGTTATGCGTTAAAATTTAAAATGTAGCAGAAATGAAAAATGTTTTTTGATGGGCTTACTAGCAGACTGTACACAGCTGAGGAAAGAATCTCTGATATTGTAGATGTGCCAATCAAAACTTTCAAAACTAAAAGTAACAGGAAAAAAAAACTAAAACAAAAAAGGAACAGAATTTCTAAAAGCTGTGGAACAACCAAAAAAAGTGTAACATACATGTAATGGGAGTACCAGAAGAAGGGAGGAAAGAACAGAGCAGTATTTGAAGCAATAACAACTGAGAATAATCCCAAATTGAGGCCATATTCAGGAAGCTTATAGAATGCAACCAGGGTAAATGCCCCAAAAATGACACCTAGGCCTATCATTTTCAAATAGCAGAAAATCAGAGATAAAGAAGAAATCTTGAAAGATGCCAGATGGGAAAAAAATCCACCTATGTATACAGATGCAAATATAAGAATGATGCAAGCAAGAAAATAGTGAAATGAAATATTTAAAATGTTGAGAGAGAAAAATGTTCTACCAACCTAGAATTATGTTATCTGTAAAATTATCTTTCAAAAGTGAAGGAGATCTAAAGACTTTCTCAGAAAAGCAAAAATTGGGGAATTTATTACTAATAGACCTGCCTTGCAAGAAATGTTAAAAGAAGTTTTTCAGAAAAAGGAAAATGATATAGGTCAGAAATTTGAATCTGCATAAAGATATGAAATGCAATGGAGAAGGAATAAGTAAGGATAAAATAAAAACTTTTTTTTTATGCTTAATTGATCTAACATAAGAGTTTGGTCAGAATAATAGTGGTGACAATGTATTCAATGATTACAATATTTGATGTGTAAATGACATGAATAACAGCAATGAGTCAAGGGGCAGAAGGAAAGAATTAGGAAATTTTGTTATTATAAGGTACTCACACTACCTGTGAAGCAGTATAGTGTTATTTGAAGGTGAACTTGAACTAGATGTAAGTGCATATTGCAACCTCTAGGATGTGATATCATTGTGGATATATTTTGGTTCTTATCCACAATTCCTGACTGTCAGCTTCTGTAATCCATATTTTCTAAGTGACTAGAGGAATAAGAATATATTTTGTTAAAGTATTTGGCCTTTTGTCATTGGTTTCTGAAGTAGCTGCTGAACAATAAAGATAAAAATGTATTTTGCTGTGTACAAGTCCTTTCAAACACATCTGAGCTTATGTTCATGAGGCAGCATGGATGAAGCTGGAAACCATCATTCTCAGTAAACTAACACAAGAACAGGAAACCAAACACAGCATGTTCTCACCCATAAGTGGGATTTGAACAATGAGAACACACCAGGCCTGTGCGGGGGTTGGGGGCTAGGAGAGGGATAGCATTAGGAGAAATACCTAATGTAGATGACGGGTTGATGGGTGCAGCAAACCACCATGGCACGTGCATAACTTTGTAACAAACCTGCACATTCTACACATGTATCCCAGACCTTAAAGTATAATTTTAAAAAAGGAAAATAGTAATAAACATGGTAGACGTTAATCCAGCTATATCAATAATCTCTTTAATCATAAATTGTCTGAATCAATAAAGGTAGTTGACATTGAAATCTACTGACTACTTGATCTAACAGCAGGAGAATACACATTCTTCTCAAGCTTCCATGGGACATTTGCCGAGGCAGACCATATTCTGGAACATAAACACACCTTGGCAAGTTTAAAAGAATAGAAATCATCCAATGTGTTGTCTCAGATGACAGTGGAATTAAACTAGAAATCAATAACAGAAAAATATCTGGAAAATCCCCAAATACTTGGAGATTAAATAGCATACTTCTAAACAACACATGCATCAAAGAAGAAATCTCAAGAGAAACAAAATACTTTGGACTAAATGAAAATACAGCTTATCAAAATTTGTGGGATGTAGCTAAAGCAGTGCTTAGAAGGAAATTTATAGCATTGAATGCATATATTAAAAAAGAAGAAAAATCTAAAATGTATAATTTAAGCTTCTGCTATAGGAAACTAGAAAAAGAAGAGCAGATTAAATCCCAAATAAGCAGAAGAAAAGAAAGGAGAAAAATTAGAGCAGTAGTCAAATAAACTGAAAACAAGAAGTCAATAGAGAAAATCAATGTAGCCAAAAGCTGGTTTTTTGAAAAGATCAATAAAATTGATGTGTCTACCTGTGATAACTAAGACTAAAAGGCACAGATTACTGCCAGAAATGCAAGGGGTAACGCTATAAATCCCATAGACATCAAAGGATAATAAAGAATACTATAAACAACTCTATGCCTGATGTCAAATTTGATAACTTAGATGAAATTAACCAATTTTTTGAAAGACATAATCTGTTAGAGTCACACAAGAAAAAAATATGCAGTGTGAGCAGGCCTATATCTACTAAAGAATCAATAATTATTAATTTTCCAAAACAGAAAACACTAGGCCTAGATGAATTTATTGGTGAATTTTACCAACATTTAAGGAAGAAATTATACCAATTCTCTACATTCTCTTCTAGAAGACGGATGCAGTGGGAATATTAACTAACTCACTCTATGAGGCCAGTATTACCCTTCAGAAAAAATCTCTTCTCAACATAGATGCAAAAATTCTCAACAAATTATTAGCAAATTGAATCAAACAATGAACTATTATTGGATAAGTATAACTATAAAAAGAACTATTGACCACAACCAAGTGGAGTTTATCCCAAGATTAACATTCAGAAGTTAATTAATACAAATCATCAACAGACTAAAGCATATTAATCACATGATCATGTTAATTGATGCAGAAAAGAGATTTGATGAAATTCAACACCCATTCATAATAAAAGTGCTCTGCAAACTTGGAATAGAAAGGAACTTCCTCATATTGATAAAGAACAGCTACAAAAGCCTACAGCTGTTTAATGGTGCTTAATATTAAGTACTTATAATGGTAAGAAACAAGAAGTTTTCCTGCCAAGATCAGAAACAAAGCAAAGATGTCTCCTCTCACCAGTCCTTTACAACATCATATGGGAAATCTTAGCTAATGTTATTAGAAAATAAAATAAAATAAAAGGTATACTGATTGGGAAGGAAAAAATAAAACTGTTCTTTGTTTGAAGATTACATAATTTTCTGTGTAGATAATCCAAAAGAATTGACAAACCAAAACATTCTTGAAATTAATAAGGCATTATATTGATTGTAGGATACAAGATTAATATACAAAAGGCAATATTTTTCTATATACAAGCAATAAACAATAGGAATTTGAAGTTAAAAACATAATACCATTTAGTTAGGATCCTTAAAATAAAATACTTAAGTATAAATGTAACAAAATATTGTAAGAGTTGTATGAGGAAAACTACAAAACTCTGATGAAAGAAGTCAAATAATAGATGGAGAGATGTTCCATATTTATGCATAGAAATACTCAATAGTGTCAAAATGCCAGTTCTTCCCAACTTGAGCTATAGAATCAATGCAATTCCAAACAAAATCTCAGCAAGTTACTTTGTGGACATTTAAACCTGATTTAAAGTACATAAGGAGAGGCAAAAGACTCAGAGTAGCCAATAAAATGCTTAAAGAGAAGAACAAAGTTGTTAGGCTGACATTACTTGACTTTAAGACCTACTGCAAAGCAGCAGATATCAAAATGATGTGGTATTGGCAAAATATTAGACAAATGCATCAGTGGAGCAGAACGGAGAGCCCCAAAATAGACCCACATAAATAAAGTCAACTAATCTTTGACAAAGAAGCAAAGACAATATGGTGGAGCAAAGATAGTCTTTTCAACAAATGGTGCCGGAGTAACTGGACATCAACGTGTAAAAAGAATGAATCCACACACAGACTTTATACCCTTCACAAAAAATTAACTCAAAATGGACCATTGATCCACATGTAAAATGCAAAACTATAAAACTACTAGAAGATAATGTAAGAGAAAATCCAGATGACTTTGTGCATGATGAAGACTTTAAAAATACAACATCAAAGGCACAATCTATGAAAGAAATCATTGACAATCTGGACTCTATTACAATTCAAAACTTCTGCTCTGCAAAAGTTTTGATAAGGGAATGAGAGAAGCAGCAAAGACCTGGAGAACATATTTGCAAAAGGCACATCTGATGAAGGACTGTTATCTAAAATATACAAAGAACTCTTCAAACTCAACAATAAGAAACCAAACAACCCAATTTTAAAATGGGCAGAAGATCTGAATATACATTCACTAGAGAAGATATGCAGATGGTTAATAAACATATGAAAAAATGTTCGACATCCTATGTTATTAGGATATTGCAAATTGAAACAACAATGGAATAACCACCCTAAATGACCTGAAGAAACAGAGAAATAAACTACTGTTTACATCGTGGCTGAGATAGTGACCACAGGTTGCCCACATGGATGGCTGAGATAGTGACACCTTTGCTTTCTACTGGTTCAATGTAAACAAACTTTGTTTCTTGCAAATATACAAAATTATTTAAAAGTTTGTATAAAATTGCCCTCTGGCTATGTGTATAAAAGGTGTATATGGAATATAAATGAATTTCTTATTTAGACTTGAGTGCCATCCCCAGAATATCTCATTATGTATATGCAAACATTCCAGTATCCAAAAGGGTCCAAAATCTGAAACACTTCTGGTCTCAAGCATTTCAGATAAGAGATAATGAGCCTGGACCATTGTATACCTATCAGAATGGCCAAAATCCAAAAAACTAACAACACCAAAGGCTGGTGAGAATGTAGAGCAATAAGAACTCAAATTCAAAACTGTTCAAAAAAAAGAAATCTATTAGGCAAAAAGATAAATATTCATTAACTTAAACATCATTATTATTTTATAAGAATGTTTACTATACAACATTATAACTTTCTAGAGGAAAAAATTTATTATTAAATTTGTTTTCTGCCTTGGAAGCTTCATTACAAGACAGAGAGTGGAATACTTAAAGTTTAAAAATAAGCAAAAATATAAACTTTAAAACATATTTTCCTTGTTTTAAAGAGTTTAACAGGCACACTTTGTTCAATATAAACAACCTACTATTTAGATCATGCCGACACTAACACAAAACTTGTACCACAAGAATAAAAGTTAACACGATTTTTTTTTCTTTCCTTTATTTGATTAATGGACCTAAACAACCCCTACTGTATTTTTAAAAAATGAACTAGGCATTATATAAAATGCTTAACTACTAAATAATTAATTTGTTGGTTCAAGTGTTTAGAATATAGATTAGAGTTTTTTTAAAAGGTACTGGAAAAACATAGAAGTGTATGATAGAACCCCTGCTTGGAAACAAATGTGTGCAAATGAATGATGTTTGTAGGCATGTACAATAGTAGAGAAGAACTACCAATTTTTCTTTTAAAGAAGGGTAAGCTAAGAGTTTTATGGACTTCTTTCAAAAGCAAATAAATCACTTGCTCATTATAAATCTTGTTTATATTTTGGTTATATTAAATGGTATAGTTTATTTTTAATTAGAAGAAACTATTGATTACACAGATAACAAATATTACATTCTGGCCAATAGCAAAATTTTTAGACAAATGACAAAAGCATACCAATGATAAGTGTGAAGAAATAATTTCATAATGATGCTATTCCAATAGCACTAAGATCTTTGCTATCATCAATCCAAGGTTTAATTTTACAACAAAAGCAACATTTTTAATCTCTTTCTCTCTGTTAAAAGCATGCACACACACATCTATTCATGCACATATGCACAACTTCTCATGCCATACTGTCTCTATGAGCACAACTGAGGTTATCTTCTGTTTTTGACTACTTAAAAGTTTTCAGGGAAAAAAATCAATTATAATTTTACAAATCAATAATCAAAAATGAGCCCTTGCTGTAATTAAAGATCTCTCAAGGGCATTCTATATTTGAAGTGCAGCTTTCGGCCAGGCACGGTGCTCATGCCTGTAATCCCAGTACTTTGGGAGGCTGAGGCAGAAGAATCTCTTGAACCCAGGAGGTGGAGAGCAGCCCAGGCAACATGGTGAGACCCTGTCTCTACATAAAATAAAAAATTAGCTGGGCATGAGGAACATGCCTGTAGTCCCAACTACTGGGGAGGCTGAGGCAGGAGGATTGTTTGAGCCCAGAAGGTTGAGGCTGTGTGAGCCATGATCATGCCAGTGTACTCCAGCCTAGGAGACAAGGCAAGACCCTGTATCAATTTGAAAAAAATTAAAAGTGCAGCTTTCCATGAAGTCTTTCATGACAATTGATAGATGCAGGTGAAACAGAGTTTATCTTTTACTCAGCAGAACATTTTTTAGGTTAGCGAAACTTATCTATTTTTTTGTTAATCAGCAATTGTTAAATTTCTCCTCAGTTGGCATGAAGGTAAAAAAGCTTGGCTTGGCCTCCTTATTTTTATAGTTTGCTTTGAAGTACAATACATCTGTAAGATAAGGAAAGTTAAACTCGAGGTCTATTTCTCCTAACCTTACATTACAAATTAAACAATGATAAAGTACATTTCTTCTATGTGTGTGGTTCCAAAATTATTCATTGCAAAATCCTGTATCCTTTCCCATTTAATTAATTCCAGAGATTGAAATTTGTATCCTTGTCAATGTCAAATTATCATTTATATTATGAAAGGCATCACAAATACTATTCATTATAGTTCAACACCAATTCCTTTCTTTAAAGAAGAGAAGGTCATTTAATTTAATCTGGGCCAACCAAATCTTTCCTGGAAAAAGACAAATTATTGGCTTAAAATTTTTGGCAAGGAGCTGTACGTTTTTCTCCTTGATCATCTGAGAAGATTTAGCAGGATTTATTAGTCCCTAACATCTTGATCTCAGTCTCTAACAAACCACTGAAAATGAACACTTAAGGCTAATAAAGCTGACCCAGACAGATCAACCAATTCCATAAGATACAGGATGAAGAGGCTGGGCGCGGCGGCTCACGCCTGTAATCCCAGCACTCTGGGAAGCCAAGGCGGGTGGATCACGAGTTCAGGAGATCGAGACCATCCTGGCTAACACGATGAAACCCCGTCTCTACTAAAAATACAAAAGAAAAAAAAAAATTAGCCGGGCATGGTGGCGGGCACCTGTAGTCCCAACTACTCGGGAGGCTGAGGCAGGAAAATGGCGTGAACTCGGGAGGCGGAGCTTGCAATGAGTCGAGATTGCGCCACTGCACTCCAGCCTGGGCAACAGAGCAAGACTCCGTATCAAAAAAAAAAAAAAAAGATATGGGATGAAGAAATTATCAGGGTTCTTTTCTTGATTCCAGAAGTGATGGGCTATCCTGTCAGAAATTCATAACAAGGTAAATACCTGTGACACAGAAGCAAATAAGTAAATTACGGTGAAGATTACAGTTGAAGAAGTAGGATTTTTTTTTTTAACAAGTGAAAGTGTAAAGGAATAAAATGCCCTGGAATCACTAAAATCAATAAAACTTCAGCAGACCTATTACTTTTGGAACAAAAATGTCCTAAGTGGGTAATAACAACCTTTGAGTTCATCAGACAATTATCGTGGGTGCTACGCAAATTGAGTTAGGTAGAAATCCTGCTAGCATCGACAACCGCCCAATTACTACCAATATTATTAGTATATAGCAATAATCCTAATTACATTGGGTCAGATACACATGTTTCCAGAGTAAGGCCCAGTGCCACTTACAATCCTGGCTCTTAGGGCAGGCCCTGAGACCGATTGGAGAACTGCCAATGTGGTTGAATGTTTGGCAGTCATTACAATTCAGATGGGAGTTAGGGCAGAGAAAAAGGCACCAACTAATACGTAGTAATAAGTCTCAAGACAGGAGTATTAGACTCTGACTTATTCAAGATAAAAATAGAGTTGTAAGGTTGCCAAAACTAGCAGCAATGGCTGTAGTGACATTAACAGAATTTATACCATTCTTCTTTGAACCAACAATAACCTAAACTATTATTATTCTCTGCAGAAGAGATGCATGGAAGGTAGTTTTCTCTCTGTTAGAGCACAAAATGATGGAATGATCAAAGTTTTATTTTCCTTCTGGAATCCAGCCCAAAATAATTGCTGCTACAGCTGCAAGAAAACCCACTACAGTTGCCGGAATCTGCTTTAAGGCCAAACTGCCAATTCCTAGGTTCTACTTTTCAACGGGTGAATCCATCTTCCCTACATTTACTGCAGTGGTTAACCTTGATGCCAATGTCATTTCCAAGTTTTCATGGAGAACAAGAAGTGCAGAAATTAAAATGAAAACTTCTGTAACCTTTTTGAACACTTCGTATTAATTTCCCATTGCTGCTATTGCAAGTTACCACCAACTTAGTAACTTAAAACAACACAAATTTATTATACTGCAATTTTAGAGATCAGAAGTCCTAAATTTAAGGTGTCAGCAGGGCTGCATTCCTTCAGGAGGCTGTAGGGGAAAAATGTTTCTTTGCCTTTTCCAACTTCTAGAGGCCACCTGTATTCCTTGGCTCATGGTCCCTACCTCCATCTTCAGAGTTGGCAGTGTAGTATGTTAAATCTCTCTGATCTTTGCTTCCATCATCACATCTCTCTTACTCTGACCCTTTTGCCTCCTTCTTATAAGGGACCTTGTGATTCCACTGGACCCATGCAGACAATGCAGGATAATGTTCCTACTTCCAATCCTTAAATTAATCACATCAACATGGCCCCTGTGCCATGTAAGGTAACATATTCATAGGTTCTGGGGGATTAGGGCATGGACATCATTGGGGGATGGCATATTCTGTCTACCACAGTCCATGCTCTGATCCCCAAAGATCTATGTCCACTCTACATGCAAAATGTATTGACCTCATCCCAACATCTCCTCAAGTCTCAAACCATTGAAATTTCTCAGTGTTGTACTATATCTAACATAATGCCAACTGAAAATATTCCAAAACCAACTAGCAAAAATAGTGAAAGTATTTGCAATATCATAGTGTCACTGGATATCTTTGTTAATTTCTTTGTTTGTTTCCAAAATGATATCTTCCTCAACATCACTAGGAGTACCTTCATCTTTTAACATGGCAGTAGTTTCTGAAGCTTGCCATCCTTCCCAGTATGGCATAGTCACCATGTTTGGTGAAAGTTTGATAGCACCTGCCCATTTTTTCTATGAAAAGACTGCTGTGAGAAACTGATACTCCCTCCATGTGTTGTTCTGATCTATTACTAAAAGCCTGTGTTCCAGTTGATAATTTATCCTGCCAAATACCTTTGGTTTTTTTATTCCTGTCTTTCTGACTTTTCTGGTAAATGACTGGACCCATATTCAGCAGTAAGTTAAAAAAATTATCAGATTAAATTGCATTAAATTTAACTCCAATCTGCAAAACTTTCTCCAAGACTTGGACCACTATTGTGTTAGTAATAGATCTTCTTTATTATTAGTCATCTTGTCATAGCAACAGAATGTGTATTCCTCTGTTCTCAAACTGCATGAGGAACTGTAGCAGTTGAATCAGAACCACAAACACTGGTTTTAAATTAAGATACTGACTTTGGCCGGGCGGGGTGGCTCATGCCTGTAATCCCAGCACTTTGGGAGGCCTAGGCGAGTGGATCACGAGGTCAGGAGATCAAGACCATTCTGGCTAACATGGTGAAAACCCATCTCTACGGCCAGGCGTGATGGCACACACCTGTAGTACCAGCTACTCTGGAGGCTGAGGCAGGAGAATCACTTGAACCCGGGAGGCAGAGGTTGCAGTGAGCTGAGATTGTGCCACTGCACTCCAGCCTGCATGACAAAGCGAGACTCCATCTCACAAAAAATAAAATAAAATAAAAAATAAAGAAGATACTGACTTCATTGTATGGAAGAAAAATAATGTTTCCACTAATAAAAAATGTTCAGAAGGTGACAGGAAGAGGTAGATCTTAGGATGCACCTGACCCCAGCTCCTAGCAAACCTCAGGGCTTTTCTTTTACTGTCACCTGTCTCCATGTGGAGAGAGGGACAGAGACACTCTGGGCAAGGATGAAAGGACCATTCACTTCATCCTCAAGCATCTGAAGCTCCAGTCTCAGAGTTCCTTCCTGCTCAGCATCTTCTTACATCATCACTCATAAATCTACTTTTAATGTTAAATGTGATCAAGATTATCGCCCATCATAATAGACATGTTCCACAAATTTAAGCCCTATCTCTAGAAAGGCTGTAGACCATCATTTTGCTCTGAATCAGCAACGGTTTTGAGATTTTTGTGGCTTTTTTAGCCCATTGAACTAGCATGAGTCAGCCAGTCATTTTGAAACTGACAAAAGAGAAATTTGACTTTTGAAATTTTTTACACTGTATAGCACAGTGACTGTCCCTTGCCACCCTGCCAGCGTCCCACTGTCCTTGAGTTATATCAAAGCTACATATGTTGTGGGCCGGTCTGAGGCATTGTGGGCTATTTGATCCTTGCACTCTTCCACATAACCACCTGACACATGAACTGTGAAAATCTCAGTTGAGTTTGTTTAGAAAACCCTCACATGAGAAATACTCTTGGCTTTCTGAAGAACAGTCAGCAATTTCCCAGAATTTAATAGGAGTCAACAGGATTATACCATCATGGATATATGTCTAGCTAACTGTGATACAATCTTCTGGAAAAAAATAATGGAATTAATGTAAAATACTGGTAATGCCTGATATTTGACAGAACAGTAACACAGGGCCAAATATTTTTTTAAATGTTACGTGCTTGCATCCTTGGCTTTCGGGGTGAGGGGATTGAAAAGACTAATCTTTAAGATTTCTTCTCCTGAGAGCAATCCTAGGACTCTGAGACCACGTTTCCCAGTGGCTGCAGGTGACTGCTAAAGCTCCAGTGACCTCTTGATTTGAGACTCAAAGCTCTGTGTCTTGTCAAGATCAGCCAGGGCCTGGCACACAGGAAAATGTTTGCCTTCATGGCAGATAGTTGTTGAAATCTTACACCCTCCCATGATTATTATGGCGAAATCTTACACCCTCCCATGATTATTATGGCAGGCAAAACCAAACAACCCTTGAATCATAAATTTTAAACAACTGAAAAAATGCTTTCAGAGCCAAGAGAGGCTTTGATTTTTTCCCTTGTTGAAGATTTTTATCAAATGAGATAGAGAGCATTATGCTTTCTTCTTAACCATCATCTCCAAGGAGTTCAAGAAATTGTGGCTGGGTAGAGGCCCTTGGGATTCTCCTTTAATGATTAAATTAAAGAATGATTTGAAATGACTTTTTACATATAACTAACAATAATATTAAATTGTTGTTAAGTTCTGCATATAAGTATTACATCATGAAATACACCTAGAATGTTATATAACACACATAATATGTAAAGGAGCTACTTGTTTTATCTCCTCTTTGCAAATGAAGAAAGGATGCTTTAGACAGGTTGGATAACTAACCCAAGGCCACAAGTAACTAATCTGCAGAACTGACCTACCTGCCTCCAAAGCTCGGATCTTAACTACTATACTATATGGCAACCCTGGGAAAATAGAACAAAAAAACCTAACTTAAAAAGATACAACATATATCTGAGTTCAAATCCAACCTTCATCACTAACTCACTTCAAAAAGTGAGATTTTTGACAAACCTCACTTTCTTTAGTCACGAAGCTGAGGTGAGTTTTGAATGAGATAACGTATACAGTGGCACTCAGCAGAGTACCTGAACAAGATTAACTTGTTAATTGTTAACTTCTTTCCATTAAAAAATGAGATTTTCTTGGGGCAGGTGTGAACATCGCAGCTAGTGAGTGAGACTGCCTAAGCCCTCACTGCCCAATACGGTGGCCACACGGCTAGTTAAATTTAAATTAGATTTAAAGTTAAAGAACAACCTGTGTAAAAAATAAATACTACATGTCATGGAGGGATCTGTAAACACCAAGAGGAGTATGAGTCAGAACAACTGTGTGAAAGATAAGGTCAGATGGAGATAAATCCCTGGGGTGCCAAGAAAGCCCTGGGGGTGGGGGCGTGGAAGCAAAAGACAGCGGGTCTCTGCGAGTCACTCTTGTTCAGTCTCAGGACCCTGGGAGACACTCATGGTTTCCTGGGCTTTTTCCCAGGAATTTGGCATTGAACTTGATGTTAATCTGAGGGAGTTTCCAGTTCCTGGCTGCGAGGCTGGATGAGGACACGTGGCCCCGAGGCACAGAGAGCCCAGGGCTGTGGGCAGAGAAGAGTCAGAGCCTCAGGGGCCTCGCCCTGTCCAGAACTCCACGTGACATGACGCCCCACAGAGCGAACCTCTGACAAACAAGCATGGGGCCCGTGTTGCCCTAGTGGATGGAAATGGACGTGGGAAGCAAGGTATGGTACAGATGCTGCCTTAGAGAGAAAGATAATTACAGGCAAAACTGAGCTAGACGACTCTGCTCCAGTTTGAAAAGTTTGCCATTTGAATGGCAAAGACTGAACAGCATATAAGCGTCCACTTTCTGACAGTAACCACCTACATATGGTCAATTGTAACTATTTACACTAATAATATATGCTGGGGATTCTCTGTCTCCCCATCTACATCTATTCTCCCTGGCCTTGTCCCCGGGGAGAATGATTTCCGGGACCATCTTGGCAATGCCTTGTGCGCTGATCTCCGCTGGGTTTGGTGAAGAGGAGACTTGAGGAGATAGAGAAGCTGGAGGTCCAGGGGCTCTGCAGTGGCTGTGCTCATGTCCTGAGGAGCACACCCCTTGCAGGACACCTCTCCCGTGGCTGTGGTTCTGGCTGGGTCCTGGATGACAACTTCCTTCTGTTGCAGCCCCTTCAGGCCCTGGCTCGTAGTGTTTGCAGAAACGTGGTGCTTTGCCCTGCCCTGTTGTTGTTAACCAAATCACATACTGGTAACTAACTCTTTCACTAAACTCTTGCCCATTATCCATTTTGAGGGTTCCTGAGATGCCAACTGATCCTTGAATCTAATGATTTGAAGATGGCTGAGAACTCCTTAACAGGCAAAATAGGTTTTGTTGGCCGGGCGTGGTGGCTCAAGCCTCTAATCCCAGCAGTTTGGGAGGCCAAGGCGGGCAGATCACCTGAGGTCAGGAGTTCGAGACCAGCCTGGGCAACATGGTGAAACCCCGTCTCTACTAAAAATACAAAAATTAGCCGGGCATGATGACATGTGTCTGTAATCCCAGCTACTCGGGAGGCTAAGGCAGGAGAATCGCTTGAACCTGGGAGGCGGAGGTTGCAGTGAGCCGAGATTGTGCCACTGCACTCCAGCCTGGATGACAGAGTAACACTCCATCTAAAAAACAAAAAAAAAAAAAAAAAAAAGTTTTATTGTGGCTTTTCCTTGTGCTCTATGTTTATATGGATACTGATACGGTTTGACTGCGTCCCCACCCAAATCTCATCTTGAATTGTACCTCCCATAATTCCCTCGTGTGGTGGGAAGGACCAGTGGAGGGTAGTTGAATCATGGGGAGGCGGATCTTTCCTGTGCTGTGATAGTGATTAAGTCTCAGGAGATCCAATGATTTTATAAAGGGGAATTCCCCTACACAAACTCTCTCTCCCCTACCACCATGTAAGAGGTGACTTTGCTCCTCATTGGCCTTCCATCATGATTGTGAGGCCTCCCCAGCCATGTGGAACTGTGAATCAATTAAACCTTTTACCTTTATAAATTACCCAGCCTCGGGTATGTCTTTATTAGCAGGGTGAGAACAGAATAATACAGATACACTGCAATGAACCCCAGGTCTTGGCCAGGATCTTTCTCTGTCTTCATTTTTGTCCCTTTACTTTAATACTATTTATATATGGATGACTTCTACATTGATGTCACTTGCCTAAACTTCTACAGAGTTCTAAATTTGTATACCCAACTGTGTACTTGACCTTTCTTTTTGAATTTTCTATAGGCAGTTCACACAGAACATGTCCAAAGCAGAATCTGCCTTAATCCTCACCATCCTGCTCCCTAACCTGTTCTTGCCCATCTTCCCTACTTTAGATTTTGGTAAATTACACCACTATTTAACCAAACGCTCAAACTATAAACTTAGGTATTTATTTCTTAAGTTTATTTTTCTTCTATAAGCTCCCCCCACCGCTGCCACCTTTTTTTGGTCTGCAACCTAGAAAGAATCCTCTAGGAATAATTTTTTGCATTATTATTTGCTATGGTAATAACAAGGAAACATTACATTGAAATGCAGTGTTAATAGGGCATTTAATTTATTTAACTTACTTTGTAATATTGTGAACTGTCTATAAGTCTGTTCTTATTACACTAATGACAACTAACAAACCTAAGCATCCTCTAACTTTCAGTAACATTGGTAGCTATTTACGTTCATAAATTATTTCCTGTAAGCCCTCAGAGGAAAATTACCTCTTAATCTTTTCTTACCAAACGTCTCACAAAACCAGTGGCTTAAAGGGGAAATATTCCTTTTGCAACCACATCCTGTCCCCAGGCTTTCTCTGTGTGCCAAAGACACATGTTTGTGTTTATCCTCTGATTCTGAATCACTACTGAACTTAAATTTCTTCCTGGTGACTGCCTGGGGGTCGAGATGACTTATTTTAGATGAAATTTGATTAACCCAATGGGTACCACCAAGGAAAAATGCCGTAGATTTTTTATTTTGGTCCTACAATCATTATATGTGTGTGTGTGTGTGTGTGTGCGTGCGCGCGCGCGTGTGCGTGTTTTGCCATGGTAGATTTCTAGGGATGCAGGAATTTGCTTTTAGATATTTTTAGATATTTCCTTTTAGAGAGTGTTTGAGGCGAGAGGGCATAGATTGCTTTCAGATCATGCCAGTCTTCAGATGTCAGAAAAGGACAAAGACATAGCTAGTTCTGGGATTTATTTTAGAAAGGAGATTGACTGCAGGCAATGACACTGGGGAAACACAGGCAGGGCCAACCTGAGACGAAGGCAGAGAAGCAGCTCACCAGGCAGATGGGAGCCATCGGGATGCTTGCTGTTCTTGAAAAACATATCCTCTTCCTGCAGTATCTTATTGGAAATGCCACAGTTGGGGATGTATTCTCTTATCAGAAGGCTTCTTGTTCTCTATTAAAACACAACACCCCAGGAAGCTATTGCACCGAGCCTTAACAGCCACGATGCCACTATGATTAGTTTATCGGCTCGTTTCAAAGGGTGAATGGGATGGAGGAGAATATTGGGGCATGGAGGGGAGAGGTTGTCCTGCAGGTGAAAAGAGTGTGGGCAGGGGAATAATGGACTGGGAATGGTGACTGAGGATCTGTGTTAGTTGTTAGAAAGGATCAGGTAGACCAAAGTGCTAGGAGTGAAACAAATAAAAAAATTATTAGGCATGAGTAGATGTGTTTCTGCACCCATCAGATTTTGGGTAGAATTTCTCCCCATCCCTGCTGGCATCTGGTCTGGATCTCTCCACTTTTTTATTGCTCACAATCCTTGGTTTTCAGACACTTGTAATCCCACTCACTCTTCCTGGCCTTCCTGATTAACCTGAGATTTTAAAAACTGATTTTGTATTTTTAGTAGAGACGGGGTTTCACCATATTGGCCAGGCTGGTCTAGAACTCCTGACCTCGTGATCTGCCCTCCTCGGGCTCCTGAAGTACTGGGCACTAGCCAGGTCTGGTGGCATGTTCCTGTAGTCTCAGCTACTCGGGAGGCTGAGGCAGAAGAATAGCTTGAACCCAGGAAGCAGAGGTTGCAATGAGCTGATATTGTGCCACTGCACTCCAGCCTGGGCCACAAAGAGAGACTCTGTCTCAAAATAAATAAATAAAAATAAAACACAAAACAAAACAAAACTGATTTTGTTTTCTGCTCTGTCTTCTCTGATTTTATTAAGTTTCTGCATATAATTTATTAAATGGTAAAAGCGAAGGTTTGTATATTTGTGAGTGACGTGTGTGTTGACATATATATTTTCTCAGTTAATAGGTTTTAAAATAGTTTCTATGTATATCAAGAAACTGGTCAAGAGAGATTGCGTCTACCTTGAGATGGGGCAGAGAGAGGGTTTTCCAGGAAAGAGAGCAGAGCCAGACAGACATGAAGGAAGCTGCATATTGTGTCTGGGTGATATAATTGGTCCAACATTGCCCATGCAGAACGTGAGAACTGGGAAGTCATGGATTTACACAGGCAAATCTTGAGAATTTCTCCATAAAATTCCAAGACATCTAGGTGAAAACAATTACTTATTTATTTATTTATTAGAGACAGAGTTTCGCTCTTGTTGCCCAGGCTGGAGTGCGATGGCGCGATCTCAGCTCATTGCAACCCCCACCTTCCGGATTCAAGCAATTCTCCTACCTCAGCCTCCCGAGTAGCTGGGATTACAGGCAGCTGCCACCATGCCTGGCTAATTTTTGTATTTTTAGTAGAGACAGGGTTTCACCATGTTGGGCAGGCTGGTCTCAAACTCCTGACCTCAGGTGATCTGCCTGCCTTGGCCTCCCAAAGTGCTGGGATTACTGGTGTGAGCCACTGCGCCCGGTGAAAACAATTTTTAATACCTAGACATTTCTTTATTAACCCCAATTTATCTAAGTTACATTCTAAAATTTACTCAGTTTTATTATTCAACTAATATAGTACTCTTCTTAAGTGCCTTTAGGCTTACTTATGGTGTTTTTTTAATCTGCTGCCCATCTGTAAACATAGCAAGATGCATGTAAATAAATGGATTCCACAGAAGAGTGAGGCCTCATCTCAGCCTGCTGCCTGGGCACTGAAACTCACCCTGAGCTGTCTCATTAGCCCAGAATCTTGCACTTGGAAGACAGTAGATCAACGTCTTCTCGCTCTACAGGTCACCACCCTCAGACTTTGTCTTCAGGAAGAAATGCTTCCAGGTTATTTCTGACAATTTTCTCGGATTAAAAACATTTGAATGGGCACATACATGTGTTTTTTCATGAGCTGTGTAAACAGTTGGCCAGTAAACAGTGAGGGGTACAGCTATTTACCTTCCAGATTCATTGTAGGTTTCAGATGCACACACTCTGAGTTTATTTAGAGTTCCTTCTAAAAAAAAGGGCCCACATACATGACACAATGTAACTATGTCATTAGCATGATTTTAATATCTGTGTTGGCCAAAACTATGAGAGATATGCAGAATCCAATTGTATTATTTACTACTTGTTATAGCCCTATCAAAATTCTAGCATGAAAATACAGAGATTATAAATAATTATATAAATGATGTATGAAATAATCTAATGCTTTATTAATGAGATTTTTAAAATTCATAATAAACACTTAGATTTAGTGAGTTTCTGTTGTGTCTGGAAAAATATTTGTGTCAATTCCAATTGAGTTGGTGTAATTACAATGGCGTTAATTTGATTGTCTAAAAGTAAAAAAGAGTTGTTCCTTATGACCATTTTTCTCCTTAACTCTCCATACTTCAGAGAACATCACCTAAGAACAAGGGCATTCTCTTACATAACCACAGCATAATTACCAAAATCAGGTAAGTTACACAGCTGTAATACTATTATTTAACCTATAGTCATATTAAAAATTTGCCGATTATTCAATAATATCTGTTACAGCCATTTTTCCTAATCCAGGCTCCAACTGAGGATCATACATTGCCCTTAGTTTTCATGTCGCTTTAGTGTCCTTGAATTTAGAAAAGTTCTTTAATTTTTTTTTGTCTTTCATGGCACAGGTATTTTTGAAAAGTATATTTCAACTGTTTATTTTGCATACTGTCCCTTAATTTGTTTGTATTCTATGTCATCATGATTAGATTTCAGTTATGCATTTTTGGCAGAATGACTACATAATTGGTATTGTATTCCTCTTAGATCTGATCATTAAACGTGTTCATTGCTAAGGGGCTCAGTGAGTTAGATATAAAGATGGTTTTCCGAGTCAGTTACTTGAAATCTTCAAGGAACAGATAATGCTTCTAATATATAAATTATGCCCCAAAGCATAGACAATTAAGGAAACCCAATTCATTTCACTAAGCTTTCAAAATTCTCACATAAAATTGTGATAATGAGAACACACAAAACTAAAGACCAAATTCACATGTAAGTGTAGATGTAAAAATAGTGGGTAAAATTCTAGAAGACTGAGATCGAAATGTGAAAGGAAAATAAAACTTGGGACCCCAATTCACTCTGCCAAAATTAAAAATCAGGCTGAAAGCTGAGACCTACAAAGAAGCTGCCTTTCCTTTTGTTCCTAAGCAGAGAGGTACATATAAAAGGTTAAATATTTCCACAGGTAGCTACTCTATCTCCACCTTATCTTATATAAAGTGTGGATTTACTGAGCTCCAGACAAATACAAAATTGACCATTCCCTTACCTGCTCCTTTATCTTGCAACATGTGGATTCCATAATGTAACCATACTCTCTTTCCCTCCCCTCCAGTCCACTTGTTCCCGTTAAATATTGAAGCCGTCAAAATCATCTTTCAAGAAAGGCACAGACCTGTCTCCTGGTCACATCCTCGACCTTGGCAAAATAAACTTCAAAACTGATTGAGACCTGTCTCATGAATTCCTGAGAAAAACCTATTTGCATGAATTCATGAGCAGTTTAATTTATTAAATCATGAATATATAACATTACATCAATAGAACCAATAAGAAAAAACATACAATATCCTCTATGCTGAGAAAGTGGCAGAAGAATTTAATACCCATTTCTTGGAAAATGAAATATTGGAATATACAGAAAAGTGAAAAATCAAAAAGGGTGGTGTTGGCAAAAAAAGACTGGATAGATGGAAGGAACAATGGAGGTGATACAGAATGTAGCATGTGAAGAAGCAGAATGAAAAAGGATACATCACAAATCAAACAGAAAAATTTACTAAATCACTTTTTATCTACTTCCACAATAATGCTGTAAAGAAAACCACTTCAAAGCTTGGTGGAGCAAAGCAATAAACATTTATGATTGCTCATGAGCCTAGGGTCAGCTGGGTGGTTCTTCTGGTTGGGACAGGGCAAGGGTGATCTTGGTTAGGCTCACTCAGCTGGAGGGTTGTTGACTGGTGACTGGATGATCTAAGATGGTTATGCCTGGGACAGATATAAATATAGAAGAAAGTAGAAATTTGGTTTTGTTTGTAGCTCCTCTTAAAATATCCTATCTGATTTAAAAGACTACTGCCTAATGCAATAATTGTACATCTAAGTAGATTGATACACAATGTATTAAGGCCTCAAAATATATGAAGATGTATATTGGGACCATAACAGCCCTAAGGGGTAGGGGAACAAAGCTATATAGAAACAAAATTAAAAAAAATACTATTGAAGTAGTTGGTAGTAATCCAAACTAGATTATTGTAAGCTAAAATGCTAATGGTAACCCCAATAATAATCATGATAAAATACTCAAAAATATATAGTAAAAGAACTAACTGGAAAATAGAAGTGGTACTGGAAGATATCTATTTAACACAAGGCAGTAATGGAAAAAAAAAGGAAGAACAAAAAAGACGTAAGTCACGTAAAAAACAAATAACAAAATGGCAGACGTAAATTCTATCTTACTTATATTAAATAGTAATAGATTAAATTCTCCAATTAAAAGTCAGAAATTGGAAGAGTGAATGAAAAAAACATTGTATAAATATACGCTATATCTATCCAACAATATGTATACAAGAAACACACTTTTGATTCAAAGACACAAATTGGTTGAAATTAATATGATGGAAAGAGATGGATAACCAACAGAGAGCTGGAGGGACTATGCTAATATTAGACAAAATAGACACATGTTGTTCCTGGAGACAAAGGACATTTTATAATGACATAAGGGTAAATTCACCAAGAAGGTATAACAAATATAAATATATGTATATGTAACAACAGAATCTCAAAATACATGAAGCAAAACTGACAGAATTGAAGAGAGCAATAGACAATTTACCGGTAATAAAGACTTCACTATTCTACTTTCAACAACGGATAGTGCAACTAAGCAAGAGAATGAGATTTAATATCTAGCATTACCTTAATTCTATTTCTTTGTAAAATATATCTTGGCTATTTGTGTCCAATTGTTACACTTACACAAACACATTTAAAAATTAGTATTTCACACATTATATAAATGATGCTAAGCAAGCAATAGGATTCTTTATTTAATCATCACTTAATTGTTTTTTTTTAAAAACTCATCTACCTGGTATATATTTGTCCATGGTTTCATATTCAACTTTTATCTTAATTTTGATTTAAGTATATTTTTATCAAGCAACACAAAATTATTTTATTATATGAATTTGATTTTATCTCATTTAGTTAATAAATATAACCTATTCACATTTTTCATTGTAAAAATAAAATCTGTGTTCTGGCTAATTTGTTCTTCATGTAGCCCATGGCTTTTCAAATTGATTCATTTATCTGATTGTTCTATTTGAATTTATCATTTAGTAATTTTGTTTTCAGAAGGAATATTTCTCTCTCTCTCTGCATGTGTGCATGTATGTCAGTTTTTAATTTATAAAACTCTGCCTTTTTTTCTTTATTTCATAGCAGGCTATTCTTTCACATGTTAAATTTTCTGAGTCTTGGCATGTCTGTAAATATTAGTTAACTGTTAATACATAAGTGATCATTTTGCCTTAGATCTAGAAACCCGTGAAGTAGATAAAAGTCTGATACCAGTTTTTCTTTCATTGTGGGAATTTTAAGCATTTTATCTTGTTAAAATTCAAAAATTTTGTATCCTTCTCTTTTCAAATTTTCCTTTTTGACATTCAAAGGACCTTATAAAATTGGAGATTAAAATCTTCATCGCAGGAAATTATCTTTCTTCTTTTCTTAAAAATCATTTCATCTCTTCATTGTTCAATTCTTTCTAAAATTTCTATTAGATGAACATTAGACTTTCTGTAATGATCCTCTTTGCTTTCAAATTTTTCTTTCACTGAATCTATTGTTTTTTTTTCCTTTATGGTATGTTATGGGAGATTTCTCCAAGTTTATTTCCCAACAAATAGTTAGAACTTTAGCCATATAATACGGAATTATTCAGTTTTTATATTGACCTATCTCCTTCCATTTCTCTCTCTCCCTCTGTTTGTATATGTATATCAGTTTTTAATTTACAAAACTCTGTTTAATTTCATAGCTGGCTGTTCCTTTAAAAGAGCATAAATAGATTAAGGGCTTAAATCTCTGACAACATTAATTTGTATTTTTCAGAAGTTCTCTTCTTTCCCTTCTCCATCTCTGAGTATTTCTCTAGAACCTAATGTTTCCTTTGTTTATGGAGGTCTTTTTCTTGCATGTTCTGAGTTACATTCGAATCATTCGAATGCCTCTTGATTTTTTTCTTTTTCTTCTTATTTTTCTTTTTGAGACAGAGTCTCACGCTGTCAGCTAGGCTGGAGTGCGGTGGCACAATCTTGGCTCACTGCAACCTCGCCTCCCGGGCTCAGGCAATTCTCCTGCCTTAGCTTCCCGAGTAGCTGGGATTACTGGCATGTGCCACCACGCCTGGCTAACTTTTTAATTTTTAGTAGAGATGGGGTTTCACCATGTTGGCCAGGCTGGTCTCAAATTCCTGACCTCAGGTAATCCATCCGCCTCGGCCTCCCAAAGTGCTGGGATTACAGGTGTGAGCCACCACACCCTGCTGATTTTTAAAATCTGTACGTTTGTTTACGGAGGACAAAATGTTTAGAATGGGTAATTACGGAGTTTCCTCAGCAGCCATGAACGGTCTTTTCCTCGAAGGGCGTGTCCCTATGGAGAAGAGCAAACTCCAGGGCTGGAGATAGATGAGGTGAAGGTGCCAAGGGAAGCCTGCTTTTCCTGGGGCTGGCAGGGGTGTAGGCACAGGAGCTGGAGCTCAGATGAGCACCGATTGCCTTCACTTCATGGCAGGTCAGAGGTGCTATCCCCTCAGCACAGATCTGAAGCTAGCATAGCCTCTGCTATGCCTCTTTTTCTTGCCTAATAGCTTCCTCCATGGTTGGCCTCCTTCCTCTGCAGAAGCACAACTTTGTTCAAAGGTTTTTTTAAAAGGCACAATGACTCAAGCCTGTAATTTCAGCACTTTGGGAGGCCAAGGTGGGAGAATCACTTGAGCCCAGGAGTTCGAGGCTACAGTGAGCTATGATGGCCCTGCTGCACTCCAGCCTGAGCCACAGAGCCAGACCCTGTCTCTAAAAAAATAAAAAGAAGTAAACACATAAGAAAGGAAGATTTAAAACCAGGGACAAATATTAGATGCAGTTGTTCTTTGTACATGGGTGAAGGAGGAATACATCCTGTGGGTTGTTCTTGATTAAATACCATAATAATTAGCCAGATCTTGGTACCTGTACTTATTTAAAATTGTTTAAAAATATACTTTCATGCCTTCTGTTTTTATTTTATAGTTACTGTAGCCTTTCATATTTCTCCGAAAGTTCAAATTATATTTATTTTAAAAATCATCTTCTCTCTTCCGGATGCATTTTGTCCTGAAGAGTTGCACATGCTGCCTCTGTGTCATGGTGCTTGTGTTTGCTGCTTCTCAGGCTTGTAAACATCTCCCTCAAGCCTCCCAGCTCTCTCCTCCTCCATGGTCGGCTTATTCAGTCTCCACTTGTATTCAAGCCCTTCTTTCTTTCTCAGCTCAGGATGTTTTCTTGTTAATTGCCCCGAGAAGTAGTCGTGGTGGTCATGAGCCATTATCCAGATGCTGCTGCCTCCCAGGCCCAGCCCCAAAGGATCACATGCAAAACAGAGGAAATGCACTGCAGTGTGTTATCAAGCTGGGACCCCAGTCCAGAGACAGATGGGAAAGTCGGCGGAGGTGAGGGCAGATGGGTGTGAACCGGAGATGCTGGTCTTGATTCCCGGCCTCGGCTTCCTGCACCTGTCGGCCCACACTTCTGTGCACTCCCCCATCTCACCTGATAGAGCAATAATATGTCTTCTGTTTATCCCAGCATCCCAGCATCCCAGCATCTTCCCAGAAATCAGATAATCTTAGTCATTCACATTTCTTCAAGCTACTTTATGAACAGTCTTCTTATATGGCATGGTTTTTTAAAAAACTGGAAAAGATTTCCTGCCTCTAAAACAGTTTAAGCAAAATTGGAAAAGTAGCTTTTGTTCTTGCCCACTTCTGCTTATATTTCTGATTTTATGATTATGTAGGTATGATTATACCTGGTGGATATGATACGTAGCTTACCCTATTTTCAAAAAGATCATCTCTTTATTCCTTTAAGGTTATATTATATGAGTCATTTCTGTTCAAATGACGCCGGCTTCTTTCTTAGTTAAATTTAAAAATGTTTTTCCCAGGCCAATCAGGAACTTCTGGGATTTGAGCATGGCTACTCCCTTTTAATGTTATGAAGTTATATATTAAAGTTGATAAATAGTATCTTTATTAATTTTACCCCAGTTATTTGCACCCCTGGACATGTACCTGTAGTAGAATTCACTGCAGAAGCTCAATTTAAACGCCCTTGTTTCTGACCCTCACTCAAAATCTGTCCTTTATGTCACTTGCAGGTCAAGTTTAGTAGGTGTTATCTCTTGCAGGATAAGAAAATAGGAATGTGTCAAATAGGACACATTCCCGTAGGGTCAAATAGGAATGTGCTCTAAAATATTTTTTAATTTTTAAATTTGCTTTCTACAAACATATAAGCTTTTAAATCTATAACATTTCAAAAACAAAATAGTAGAAAAACAAAGCTCTTTGGATGACACCATCATTCACAGAGGAAAACAACAATAATGTACTCTTATAAATAAAGATGAAAAGATGTGGGTTTCACATCAGTAACTTTCAGAGTCAGGTGATAATATTCAATGGCAATATTTTTGTTAGACCTCCATCACCATTTTATTGTCTTCAAGATAACAAACTTATGTGGCATTTTAAGTCACTCAGTTGCCCAGAAATATACTTTACAATCCTTTTATCTTGGTGAGTGCACCAGGAAGTTTTATTACTTGGTATTAAATATTCTGTGAGAGCTTTATTGATTCTTTTTTAGTTATAAGGTGGGCATTTGATTATTCTTGATTTTAAAAATGTCTGGTTTTTGTTAACCTCAAAAGGAAAGCTTTCTGGAACTTGTTGGTAATCTGACTGTAAGGTGACTGACTTAGGACCTGCCATCAAGCTGCCTTGGAACACTCCCAGAAGACTCTCTGTGAGAGATGGGAGACCGCAGCTGTGGGTACCCACCCTGCCTCGATGGGGCTGCTGGTCATGGATTTGGTAGATACTAGGCATTCATATAAGACCTCATTTACATAAAGGGCTTAATTGTTGTAACCACCTCCAAAGCACTGCTTTATTAGCCAGAACTTTAGGGACTAGATGACCCCTTCAGCACCTTGTCATAGTGAACCTAAATTGTTCTGAGAGCAGTTGTGGCTCTGTTCATAAGTAGCCCCCTAGTCCCTATCTGTGGAGAGAGGGGATCAGGTGTGTGCCCTCTTCAGACCGCTCAGCATCACAGGAAGACCTTAGTCCTGCCTCGCCCTCCAATCAGCTAACATCTGTGGCTTCACATTAAACTGGAACCACTGTCCTTCTCTACCTAACAAAAGTTACATTGTGAGAAATATTTACAGATGATTAACTGTCATTGTCCTCCTTGAATCTGTAGCCAAAATACTTAGAACAATTTTTTTTGTGGCTTACTTACCAACATAAAAGATCTCAAGGGATGGATTTTGGTGTTACCTTTACTGCTGCTTTATCACCAGCTCTCTATTGCTTCCTCTTCTGTAATTTCTTCAGCAAGTATATTTTAAATTTTGTTACAATACTTATGTGTTTATGTAAGCTATTTACAACCCCTGTTTTTCATTTTATAAGGAAATAAAAATTTAAAAATTTGCAATCTATTTATAATGTAGGATCAATTTAAATCAGCATATTACCACTCTGAAGGATGGTAACTTGTTAAGCCTTATTTCTGATGATTCAATGAAAAGCTTTATCTAGCACCTGCACTTGACCCTAAGGACTGTGGTCTCAATGCTGACCTCTGGTGGCCATGTTCTGCCAGCCCCTGCCCTGCCATCCACCCCTGCCCTCTGCCTTTCCAACTGCTGTGTCTTGTGCTCCAGTCTTTAAAAGAGCTACCTTTGTTTTCAAGCTACAGCCATTATTGTGACAAATATATTGCTCCTACGCTAATATATATATATATCATGCCTTAACTCCAGGAGCCCATTTACAGCTAGTACTATTGAAACCAAGGGGTTAATTTCATCAGGTATGCCTGCCCTGTTTGCTTTTGATGGCCTGCTTTTTTGTTGTTTTTGTTTATTCGTGTTTTCCATGAAGCCAAAGGCCTTGACACTCAACGCTGATACTTAATCATCACTGACTACTTTATGCATAACATTAACAGGTCAACATGGTAATGGTTGCTTCTGTTGCTTTTCAGAAACTTGGGCCAGCTCCTGTTCAGTTCAAACTGGTTGAGACCACTGACACTTCAACGGAGCCTGTGCAAGTGCCCGAGAGGTGGCCTTTTGACTTCAGAAGGCCCAAAGTTCCACCCTTATGTTATGCTAATGCCGCCTTTCTATACATATGTCCTATGAAATACTGTGAACCCTGTGCAGAAAGAACCTGTTACTTCATTTTCCCCCACTGCCAATCACCTTTCCTCACCCTGTGTCCCTAACCCATAAATATCCCTCAGCCTTATCTTCAGGGAAGTGGATTTGAAAACTATTCTCCCACCTCCGCACTTGGTGTCCTTGGGAATAAATTCTTTCCCTCTTACAAAACTAGTGTTACAGTGATTGATTTACGGCACATGGGCAGAACAGACCTACACCTGGCTGGTAACACTATCAGGTACCAAACAATGAGGAAGAACAGATAATGCAGAATTTTTTGTATATCTGGCCTGGCTTGCAATGGGACTGACAGACTTCTCACATCACTTAGTGGAACTGTTCATTCCACCTTTTCTTTGGGCTTTCTCGGGTGATTATAGCAACACCTGAGAAGAAAATAATAAAGACATCAACACAGTGGAACTCTCCTGAAAAGCCCTTCTTGTGTACCTGCTCAGGGTTTCGTGCCTTTGTTACTATGCATCTCCATTAGGTGTCCAGAGACCACAGAAAGGTCAGCCAGATGAAAAGGTTACTGGGTCAAAATAAGTTCAGAAAAACTTCATCACAGCAAAATACTAGCCACAGAAATAGTTCTGAGGTAGGAGATCAGCAGGACTTGTTTTCTGATCACAACCTTGCTGATCTAAACAGGATGTAGCAGAGAAACTGGCAGAAACCAGCAGATGGCAACAAAAGCAACCTCTGGTTGTCCTCACTGCTCATTAGCAAAAAGGCACTCCCACCAGCGCCATGACAGTTTACAAATGCCATGGCAATGACCTGGAAGTTACCTTATGTAGTTCTGGGAACTCCTCTGCCCCTTTTCTAGAAAATTCCTAATAATTTGCCCTTTAATTATTATATAATTGAGATTGGGTATGAATATGGCTCGCCAGCAATCCGTGGGGACTGCTGCTCTGGGCTGCTACCCTGGCTGCTGCTGCTCCAAGATGCTCTGCCTATGGGATGGCCCTGCTCTGTCTGTGGAGTGGCCATTTTGTTGCCCACTGTTGCTCTAATAAACTTGCTTTCCTTCATGGCTAGCTCGCTGTTGAATTCTGAGTGAAGCCAAAAACACTTCCAGGCTGAGATGCAATTCTGGGGTTTGCCTGCCTCAGTTCTTTCTTTTGCCTACTAATTTCTATGAAGCAAAATGGCCATTACTCTGTCATTGTGAGAGATACAATTAGAATGCACTTCAAGAACAATCAGGAATAGCGTCCCTTGTGTCAGACCCTGGCAGACAGAGCTGGCAAATCACTCAAGATTTGTCTGATAACAGGAACTATCACAATCTTTTTCCAAACCACAGCTTACCACATGAGTCACACAAGGACAGCTAGCAGCACAATACAGAATAGTTGCCGGTTTCAATACCGTCTCACCAACCCAATCCAAAACTACAAGGGCCTAACTAAAACCCCAAGATCAGAAGTCCTACCTTGCAATGACTGACACTGGCCCATCAGAGTCACCAGCTCTTGCAGGATGCCGCCAGCACCAATAAGCTTTCTTTCAAAACAACTTGCGTAATCTCCTCTTTCCCCAATAAACTCTTGCCTTTTCCTTTGTTCCAGAGGCCACTCTGGTGAGTCTTTAGGTCCTGAATTGCAATCCTACTTTTTGTGTATTATTCTCATATAAAACCTTTGTACTTATACATTTATCTCTATTTTTTTATGTTGATGATGCAGGGCAAGCAAGCCCTCAAACTGGGGCTTAGCCGGGGAGGGTTCTTGGCTTTGCCCAGGAAAAAATTCAAGGACAAGCTGGTGGTGTTAGATAGCAACTTGTTTATTGAAGTGGCAACGTACAGCAGAAGCAGAGGTACTGCTCCTTGCAGAGCCATGCTATCCCATAGGCAGTGTGCCCCAAAGAGCAACGTATTGGCTGTGGGCTAGTTGTATTTATACCCAATTTTAACTATATGCCAATTAAGAGGCAGGTTATTTAAAACTATCTGGAAAGGGGGCAGGGAGTTTTCAGAACCATATAAGGTAACTTCTGGGCCATTGCCATGGCCCGTTGCCATGGCATTTGTAAATTGTCATGGTGTCAGTGGGAGTACCTTTCTTCTAATGAGCAGTGAGGGCAACTAGAAGCCACTTTTGTAGCTATCCGCTGGTTCTGGCTGGCTTCTATACTGCACTCTGTTTCAACCAGATCCTGCTCTGATCAGCAGGGTCACAACTAGGGTAGTGACCAGTGCTCAGAAAACAAGTCCTGCTGGTTTCTTATCTCATTGACAAAGTGATTTTGGTTCCATCTGGCACCATTAGAAAGTTTCACCTCTTCAGCTATTTGTTCATATTCAGAGTTTTTGTTACTTTCTGTTTATTGAAAGTGGATAGAACCAAATTTGGGGAAAAAAATCTTAATTTTTCAGAAGGTTTTATTTCAATTTCGAAGGTGTCATCATTTCTAAAGTTCACAAGTTTAGTCACACTACTAGCTCTCTTCCAGCAAGACCCATACCTTTGTTAATAAAAATAACAATCTGGAAACCAGTGTTTACACATTTTGTGTTCTGAGCTGGGGGTGGGAGGGGGATGGCTGATCCCAGGGAATGGTGTTGATGGAGAATCTCCCATGTGAATGTTGGGGTGGCTACATTCTAAAATGGAGAACACAGACTTTCTTATGTAAAAGGATGAAGTATGTGTTCCACTACAGAGTCATCAGGATCCTGGAAAGAAAAGATAAATATGACTTCCAAGAAATAAAAGTTAAGCTGTTCATAGTGGCTCCTGCCTGTAATCCAAGCACTTTGGGAGGCCAAGATGGGTGGATCACTTGAGCCCAGGAGTTAGACACTACCTTGGGAAATATGGTGAGACCCTGTCTTTGTAAAAAATAAAAGATAAAAATTAACTGAGCATGGTGGCACATGCCTGTGGTCCCAGCTGCATGGGAGACTGAGGCAGGAAGATTGCTTGAAGCCAGGAGGTCAGGGCTGCAGTGAGCCATGTTTGTGCCACTGCATTTCAATCCGGTCAACAGAGTGAGACCCAGTCTCAAAATAAAATAAAATAAAAAGGACTTTTTTTTTTGTTTTTTAGATGGAGTCTCGCTCTGTAGCCAGGCTGGAGTGCAGTGGCTCGATCTCGGCTCACTGCAAGCTCTGCCTCCAGGCTTCAAGTGATTCTCCTGCCTCAGCCCCATGAGTAGCTAGGACTACAGGCATGCACCACAACACCTAGCTAATGTTTTTTTATTTTTATTAGAGATGGGGTTTCACCATGTTGGCCAGGATGGTCTCAATCTCCTGACCTCGTGATCCACCCGCCTTGGCCTCCCAAAGTGCTGGGATTACAGGCATGAGCCACCGCACCCGGCCCAAGGACTTTTCTAGATTCAGAAATCAAACAGAAGATTCCTCAGTGGAACTGTGTGCATGTATCAACTATCGAAGGCAGATGTCTGGGGTTTTGTGTCTCAAAGTTTTCAGGACAGTCCTTGTTTCAAATATCCTTGTTCCCATTGTGTGTCTTCATGGTTTAAGAAGCATGGGCATATAAGCCCATGTAAAGTGTGAGCTGAGAATATGACTATGAGTAAAAGTCTATTATCTAACCTTATTTGTAACCAAATCTTCTACCTAGGGGATTTTTGCAAACACCTCTATGTTAACATACTGCTTGGCTCGAACTTTATTCACACTTTTTACCTGAATTTTTACCTTTACATTTTCAATTTAAAGCTACACCTGCCACAGTAATATTTTAATTTTAACTCTTAACTTGTCTTTTTCTTCTAATTTAATAACACGAGGGTTAGTAAGAAGCACTTGATAAGGGACCTTCCACTTTGGTTGGAGAAAGTCTTTTTTAAAATGTTTCCAGTTAACAAAATCTTCTGGTTGAAGATTGTGGGTCTTGAATTCTTTGTTTCTGCGGAGCCCATTAAGAAAATAATCTTTTGAGGGTTAGAGCAAGATGACCAAATAGAAGCCTACACCATTCATTCCCCCTGCAAGAACACCAAATTTTAACAACTAATTACAGACAAAAAGCACCATTTTATGAACTCAAAATTAGGTGAGCAAACAGTATCTGGTTTTAACTTCATGTTGCTGAAAGAGACACTGAAAGGGAGTAAGAGAGATAGTCTTGAATTTTCAAAGCCAACTCTCCCCGATCTCTTGGTAGTTGCCAAGTAGTGCAGATAATCTGTATTTTTGGGAGAGGGAGAGCACAGCAACTGGGGGACTTTACATTGAACTCAGCACTGCCCTGTCACAGCAGAAAGAAGAACTGGGCTGTACCCAGCTGACGCCCACCCACAGAGGGAGCACTTAGACCGGCCCAGGCCAGAGGGTGATCACCCATCCCATGGTCAGACCTTGAGTTCCAGCAAGCCTCACCACTGTGGGCAAGAGTGCTCTAGGGCCCTATGTAAACTTGAGGGGCAAGCTAGGCCATGAGGACTGCAATTCCTAGGCAAGCCCTAGGGCTGAGCTGGGATCAGTTAGTAAACTGGGGTGGGGGAGGGGGCATGCAACATACTAAGACACCAGCTGAGATGGCTAAGGGAGTGCTTGTGCCACTCCTCCCCCAGCCCCTGGCAACAACCACACAGCATGGAGAAACCGGTGTGCTTGGGAGACGCGGAGCACAGCAATTGTGAGACTTTATATTGAACTCAGTGCTGCCCCGTTATAGCAGAGAGCAAAACCACGCTGGGCTCAGCTACTGCCTGAACACAGAGGGAACATTTGGACCAGACTAACCCGAGGAGAATTGCCTATCACAGTGGTCACAACTTGAGTTTCTCAGCAAACCTCGCCACCATGGGCCAAGTGCTCTAGGGTCCTAGGTAAATTTGAAAGGCAGTCTAGGACACAACTGCAGTTCTTAGGCAACCGCTAGCACTGGATAGGGCTTAGAGCCAGTGGACTAAGGTGGCATGTGACCTAGAAAGACACCAGTGGGGTTGCTAAGGAAATGCTTAACCCACCCCTCCCCCAACCCCAGACAGCACAACTCACAGCAACAAAAGTGACTCCTTCCTTCTACTTGAGGAGAGGGGAGCAAAGAATAAAGACGGCTTTGTCTTGTATCTTGGATACCAGCTTATCCACAGTAGGAACACTGGGTAGAGTTGTGAGGCTTGTTGTATAAGAAATGCTAAAGGACGTTCTTTAATCTGAAACAAAATGATGTTAATGAGCAAGAAGAAATTATCTGAAGGTCCAAAACTCACTAGTAATAGTAAGCACGCAGAAAAACACAGAATAGTATAACATTGCAATTGTGGAGTGTAAACTGCTCTTCACTTAAATGATGAATCAATCAAAAACATAACTACAACTTCAAGACATAGACAGTACAATAAGACACAATAACAACAAAAAATTAAAAAGCAGGAAGATGGAGTTAAAGTGTAGAATTTTTGTTAGTTTTCTTTTCGTTGTTCATTTGTTTGTTTATGCAGTTAGGGTTAAGCAGTCACAGATTTAAAATAATGGATTATACGATAGTATTTACAAACCTTGTGGTAACCTGAAATTGGGAAATATACAATGGATACACACAAAATACAATTTTAAAAAGCAATAAATTAAATTATACTGCCAGAGAAAATCACTTTCACTAAAATGAAGACAGAAAGTAAGAAAGAAGAGAAAAAAATCACCAAAAAAAAAAAAAAATCAGAAGGCAAATAACCAAATGGCAAGAGTAAGTCCTTACTTATCAATAGTAACGTTGAATGTAAAAAGACTAAACTCTCCAATCAAAAGACACAGAGTAGCTGAGTGGATAAAAAAGCAAGAACCAGTGATCTGTTACCTGTAAGAAACACATTTCACCTGTAAAAATACACAAAGACTGGAAATAAAGGGATGAAAATAGATATTTCATGTCAACTGAAACCAAAAAAAGAGCAAGAATAGCTATTCTTAGACAAAATAGATTTCAAGATAAAAGCTGTAAGAAGAGACAAAGAAGGTCATTATATAATGATAAAGGGGTTGATTCAGCAAGAGGATATAACAATTGTTAATATATATGCACCCAACACTGGAGCACCCAGATATATAAGGGAAATATTATTAGAGCTAAAGAGAGAGATAGGCCCCAATACAATAGTAGCTGGAGATTTCAACGGCTCACTTTCAGCATTGGACAGATCTTTAAGACAGAAAAGCAACAAAGAAACATTGGACTTAATTTGCAACACAGATCAAATGGACCTAATTAAATATTTAAAGAACATTTAATCCAATGGTTACAGAATACAAATTTGTCTCCTCAGCACATGAATCATTCTCAAGGATAGACCACACGTTCGGTCACAAAACAAGACTTAAAACATTAAAAAAATTAAAATAATATCAAGCATCTTCTCCAACCACAATGGAATGAAACTAGAAATCAATAAGAAATTTTGGAACCTATACAAACACATGAAAATTAAACAACATGCTTCTGAATGACCATTGTATCAATGAAGATATTAAGAAGGAAACTGACAATTTTCTTGAAACAAATGATGATGAAAACACAACATACCAAAACTTATGGGATACAGTGAAAGCTGTACTAAAAGGGAAATTTATAGCATTAAGTGCCTACATCGAAAAAAAAGAAAAATTCAAATAAATAACCTAATGATGCATCTTAAAGAACTGGAGAAGTCATTCTGGGAGGCTAAGGCAGGTAGATTGCTTGAGTCGAAGAGTTTGAGACCAGCCTGGGCAACATGGCGAAACCCCATCTCTACAAAAAATGCCCTAGCTTGGACCCAGGGTGCGTGTCTCCCCCACAGGGGGCACCCCAAAGCGGCAAGAAGTCCCCAGGGGCACAGAGACAGGAGGCCAGGCTTGCAAGGGGACATTGAGGCAGCCGGGGAAAAAAAGCGGTGAGGCCGAGGAGGAGGCTGGGGTCGTCCCGTGGAGGTCAGTGCCTCCTTGGCAGCCCCTGTGCCTGCCCGGGGGTGTTGTGGAGTCCTGGCTTGCACGCAGGGTGCGTGTCTCCCCAATGGGAGGCACCCCAAAGGGGCAAGAACTCCCCAGGGGCACAGGGACAGGAAGCCAGGCTTGCAGGGGGTCATTGAGGCAGCCCAGGATAAAAGCAGTGAGGCCGAGGAGGGGGCTGGGGTTTTCCTGTGGAGGCCAGTGCCTTCCGGGCAGCCCCTGTGCTGGGCCCCGGGGTGTCCTGGAGTCCCTGGCTTGCACCCAGAATGCGTGTCTGCCTAGGCTGCCATGGGAAGGTTTCTTGAGCTCAGAAGCGCAAGGCTGCAGTGGGCTGTAATTACATCATGACAGTGCAGCCTAGGCCACAGAGGAAAACCCTGTCTCAAAAAAAAAAAAAAAAAAGAAAGAACTAGAAAAGCAAGAGCAAACTAAATCCCAAATTAGTAGAATTAAAGAAATAATAAAGATTAGAGGAGAAATAAATGAATATGAAATAAAACAATATCAAAGAGTAATAAAACAAAATGTTTGAGTTTGAAAAGACAGTTGACAAACATTTAGCCAGACTAGTGAAAAAAGGAGACAAGACCTAAATAAATAAAATCAGAGATGAAAAAGGAGACATTACAACTGACACCACAGAAATTTGAAGGATCATTAGTAGCTACTATGAGCAACAAGTTGGAAAATGTAGAGGAAATAAATTCCTAGACATGTATAACCTACCGAGACTGAAACATGAAGAAATCCAAACTTGGACATACCAATAACAAGTAACGAGATAGAAGCTATAATAAAAATTCTCCCAGTTAAGAAAAGCTTGGGACCCAGTGGCTTCCCTGCTGAATTCTATCAAACTTTTAAAGAAGTATTGACACCAATCCTACTCAAACTATTCTTAAAAATAGAGGAGGAGGGAATACTTTCAAACTCATTCTATGAGGCCAGTATTACCTGATACCAAAGCCAGACAAAGACATATTAAAATAAAAAACTATAGGCCAATTCCTCTGATGAATATTGGTGCAAAAATCCACAATAAAATACTAGCAAACTAAATTCAAAAATACATTATAATGATCATTCATCATGACAAGTGGGATTTATCCCTGGGATCCAAGGATGGATGGTTCAACATATCTAATTCAGTCAATGTGATACATCACATCAACAGAATAAATGACAAAAAAAATGATCATTTCAACTGATGCTGAAAAAGCAATTGAGAAAATCCACCATCACATTATGATAAAAATCCACAAAAAACTGGTTATAGAAGGAACATACCTCAACTTAATAAAAGCCATACTTTACAGACCCACAGCTAGTATCATATTGAATGGGGAAAAACCGAAAGCCTTTCCTCTAAGATCTGTAACATGACAAGGATGCCCACTTTCACCACTGTTAATTCAACATGGTACTGGAAATCATAGCTAGAGCAATCAGACAAGAGAAAGAAAGAAATAAAGGATATCTGCACTGGAAAGGAAGAAGTCAAGTTATCCTTGTTTGCAGATGACATAATCTCATATTTGAGAAAACCTAAAGACTACACCAAGAAAACTATTAGAACTCATAAATAAATTCAGTAAGTTGCAGGATACCAAATCAACATACAACAATCAGTAGCATGTCTAGACACCAAGAGTGAACAATCTGAAAAAGAAATAAAAGAAGTAATTCCATTTACAATAGACACAAATAAAATTAAATACCTAAGAAATAAGTTAACCAAAGAAAGGAAAGATCTCTACAAAAAAAACTATAAAACACTGATAAAATAAATTGAAGAGGACACCAAAAAATGAAAAGATATTCCATGTTCATTGATTGGAAGAACAAATATTTTTAAAATGTCCATACTACCCAAAGCAATCTACAAAATCAATACACTCTCTATCAGAATACCAATGACATTCTTCACAGAAATAGAAAAAACAATCCTAAAATTTATATGGAACCACAAAAGATCCCGAATAGCCAAACCTATCCTGAGCAAAAAGAACAAAACAGGAGGAATCACTTTACCTGACTTCCAATTATACTGCAGAGCTATAGTAACCAAAACAGCATGGTACTGACATAAAAACAGACACATAGATGAATGAAACAGAATAGAGAACACGGAAAAAAATCCATAAATCTACAGTGAACCCATTTTTGACAAAGGTTCCTAGAACATACACTGGGGAAAGACAGCCTCTTCGATAAATGGTGCTAAGAAAACTGGATACCCATATGCAAGAATGGATGAATGAATGAAGAATGAAAGAGAATGAAACTTCTCCCCTGTATTAGTCCATTTTCATACTGCTATAAAGACATACCCAAGATTGGGTAATTTATAAAGAAAAGAGGTTTAATTGACTCTCAGTTCTGCAGGGCTTGGGAGGCCTTGGGGAACTTACAATCATGGTAGAAGCAGAAGAGGCACTTCTTACATGGCAGCAGGCAAGAGAGAGTGGTGAGGGAAGGGGGAAGAGCCCCTTATAAAACCACCATATATGGTGAGAGCTTACTTGCTATCATGAGAACAGCATGGGAGAAATCGCCCCCATGATTCAATTACCTCCAACTCGCAGTAAGTGGAGGACAAGTGGGGATTATGGACATGGCAACCCCTATGGCTTGCCATATAAAAAAATCAAATAAAAATCATTTAAAGACTTAAATCTAAGGCCTTAAACTATGAAACCACTGCAATAAAGCCTTAGGGAAACTCTCCAGGTCATTGGTCTGGGCAAAAATTTCTTGAGTAATACACCACAAGCACTGGCAACCAAAGCAAAAATGGACAAATGGAATCAAGTCAAGTTAAAAAGCTTCTACACAGCGATGGAAACAATCAACAAAGGGAAAGGACAACCCACAGGATGGGAGAAAATATGTGCAAACTATCCATCTGACAATGGATTAGTAACCAGAATAGTGAGGAGCTCAAACAACTCTATAGGAAAAAATCTGGTCTGATTAAAAAATGGTCAAAATATTTGAATAGACATTTCTTAAAAGAAAATATACAAATGGTAAACAGGCATATGAAAAGGTGCTCAACATCACTGCTCATCAGAGATATGCAAATCAAAACTATAATGAGATACCATCTTCTCCCAGTTAAAATGTCAGTTATTCAAAAGAGAAGCAATAACAAATGCTGGTGAGAATATGGAGAAAAGGGAACCCTCAGACACTGTTGGTGGGAATGCAAATTAGTACAACCAGTATGAAGAACAGTTTGGAGGTTTCTCAAGAAACTAAACATAGAGCTACCATAAAATCCAGCAGTCCCACTGCTGTGTATATAGCCCAAAGAAAGGAAATCAGCATATCAAAGAGTTATCTGCACTGCCATGTTTGTTGTACCACTGTTCACAGTAGTCAATATTTGGAAGCAATTTAAGTGTCCTTCAACAGACTATTGGATAAAGAAAATGTGGTATATATACACAATGGAGTACTATGCAGCCATAAAAGGGAATAAGATCTTGTCATTTGCAACAACATGGATAGAACTGCAGGCCATTATGTGAAGTGAAATAAATTAGGCATAGAAAGACAAACTTCACATATTGTCATTTATTTGTGGGAGCTAAAAATCAAAACAGTTGAACCCATGGAGATAGAGAGTGGAAGCATGGTTATCAGAAGCTGGAAAGGGTAGTGGGGATAGCAGATGGGTGGGAATTGGGGATAGTTCCCCAACTGGGGATAGTAATGGGTACAAAATAAGACTGTAGTTAATAATAATTTACTTGTACATTTTAAAGTAACTAAAAAAGTATAATTGGATTATAACACAAAGATAAATGTGTGGGGGGATGAATACTCCATTTTCCATGATGTGATTATTACAAATTATATACCTGTATTTGGATATCTCATGTACCCCATAAATATATGCACCTACTATGTACCTACAAAAATTAAAAATAAATAAGAAACTTTCACTAGATAATAATTTTTAGTTAATTGTTTCATAAGATTAGAAAAATAAAGGAATATGTCTCCACTTACAGTTAAGGAGTTTTAGTTTCCTGGGGAGAGATTCATAGGTCTGTCAGTTATTATTTCAAATGAGGAAAACTGAGGTTTCCTAAAAGGGGTAACCTAAGGTTAAGCACAGTCAATGGAAGAGTCTTCAATGATGGAATCTAAAAACTTTTGTTATTTTTGCCAATTGATTCTTAATTATTCCATTTGTGTGCATCTCCAATCCAGGTGATTGGGGATAATACGCACAATGGCAGTGTTGGAGGAATGGCCAAATTTTACATACTGATTGAATTTTCTGTCCAGTAAAATGAGTACTTTCATTATTGTGGAGTTCCTTTGGAACATTCCAAGTTGGAATAATCTTTTCTAAAATAATTTTACTTGCTGCTAAACAGTCACTCTTCAGCATGAAAATGCTTTTAGCCAAAGAGAAAACATGCAAATAATGACTGGAACATACTTGTATCCTTGTGATGAAGGCAGCTGAATAAAATCTAACTGCCATCCATAAGAATGATACGTTGGACTTTGGGGAAAGGGTGGGGGTGATTAGGGGTAAAAGACTACACATTGGGTACAGTGTACACTGCTTGGGTGATGATAGATGCACCAAAATCTCAGAAATCAGCACTAAAGAACATATTCATGTAATCAAACACCACCTGTTCCCCAAAAACCTATTAGGAAAAATTAAAAAGTTTTTTAAAAAATGTAACTGCCATGCTTCAAAACACCATCAGGTAAAGCAAAATGTCCTTAGGAGCCATGTAAAGGTTTTCCTGGATTATCTTTTCGGCAGATATGGCAGCAATTGTATACCTTATGAACTATAGTTGGAGAAAAACATTTTCTCAAGCAACTATTTTTTCAGGGCTCCAATGAGTTAAATCATGTACATAGGTTAAAAATGATGATCTCCAGTAGGAAGTATAGATAAGTTGTTTGGTCCATACCATACTTCATCTTTGGGAGAATATGTTCCTCCTTTTGTCTTCTAATTTTCTGTTTGGATTTTGGAGCTCTGGATTGAGCTAATTTTATTCCAAATTCAGGTGCTTCTTTGAGACTTAATGTAGATTCCTTTTCTTGTTCAGATACGTTTAGAGCAGCCATTTTTGCTACCTTATCAGCTAACTTGTTTCTTTTATTTTCTGCAGTATCTGATTTGGAATGACTCGGAATTTTAATAATGGCCAGTGAATTTTAATATGGCTTCTAGTGATGGTGAAATAAGGTGTTCATTTTTTATGGACTGACCACAAGAAGTTAAAAAAAACCTCTTCGTTTCCATAGCATTCCAAAATCATGAGCTCCTCTGAAAGCATATCTGCCATCTATATGAATATTTGTAGTTGCCAACTGGTAGGCTCTGATTAATGTTATCAATTCTGCTTGATAAGCTGAGGTGGCTTCTGGAAGGTAAGCACTTTCTTTAGTTAAAGATAATATAGCATAATCCGAAAAGTAAGTCCCAGGTTCATCTTTTAAGTAAGAGTAAGGCAAGCTTCTTGTAGGTCTGTTCTAGGAGAGAGAACCTGGTGAGTTGAGATTATGCAATTGTGTGGTATCTCATCTGAAGGCAGAGACAGAGGAGCAGGGGGTTTAGATTTTTGCACCTAGATATTGTAATATGAGCTACAGAAAGAAAAAGAACTTCCTAAGAAGCTAATCTGCTGACAGAATAATGTTGAGTGTGCTATGAATTTAGAAATACTTGCAAAGAATTTGGCATGAAAACCAAGAGGGGAGATCCATCACTCTTTCTTCGGTTGCTCTTACTAACAGAGCAGTGGCAGTTATTGCCTTCATGCAAGGTGGCAATCCTTTAGCCACAAGGTGTAGTTGCTGACTAGTATCCTACAGGCCTATTTTGGTCTCCATGTTTTTGTTTCAGAATGTTTAAGGCGTTTCCTTGATTTTCATGAACAAACAATGAAAATGGAATATTATAATTTGGATATCCCAAAGATGCAGCATCTATAAAGTTCTTTTTAAATTTCTTCCAATATTGACTGATTTTCCTCTGTCCATTCCAAGGGGCCTGGCTTGTCTTGTTTTATAAAAGTATAGAAAGTTTTAGTTTAAAAAAAAGTTTGGAATCCAATTTCAACAGTATTCTGCCAGTCCCCCAAATCCTCTGAGTTGTTTCTTACTTTTGGGAGTAAGGAATGCCAAGATTTCTTTTATCCTATCCAGGTGGATAAAAATATCTTCCTTTGATGTTAGATTACTCAAAAATCTTACTTGTTTTTGACAAAAGTGAATGTTTTTTTTTTTGAGACCTTGTGTTTCTTTAAGGCTAATTGTAGTAATAAGTTAATCCCATCTTCCATGGAGGCTTGCCTACCCTCTGAACAGACAAGCAAATTATCTACACATTGCATTAAAATATATTTCTTAATATAGTCAATATCTGAGAGATCTGCTTTTAATATTTGTGTAAAGTAAGTTGAGCTCTCAGTGTATCCCTGAGGCATGACTGTCCATACGTATTGTCTGTCTTCCTAAGTGAAGGTGAAGATAAATTGAATGTCTTGATCCACGTAAATACTAAAGAATGCACTACATAGGCCTATTATAGTAAAGAACTCACTTTTGGTAAGGATGGTAATCAAAGTTATATGGAGGTTTGGCACTACTAGATGATGAGAAATGTCCATGTTGTTAATTTCTCTCAGATCCTCTACAAACATCTATTCTCTATCACTTGGTTTTCTTATGGGAAAGATTGCAGTATTACATGGGCTTGTACAGGGAATAATCAGATCTCTTTTTACATAGTCTAGAATTATAGACTTAGTCTATAATAATTACATTCTAATTATAGGTCTTATTCTTTCTAAAGCTTCTGGTTTTAGAGTCTTGTTTAAGGTTTGGAAGGGGTTTTAATGAGTCTATTTGAATTTTGATTGAGGTAAGTTAGATAGTTTTTCCAATATCTGTGGAAGACTTTGACCACAGTTGATCAGGTTCTGTCTTTAGCAGTTTTTGTAATTCTTCATCATTCAATAATTAAATGTCCTCTATGGCAATATAAATTGCAATTTTTGAATTAAGAGGATCAGATTCTGAAAAATTTATTGTATCTAATAATTCCATTTTGTCTTCTAATTCTCAGCACATTTTCCCCTTTTGGGAAAAGAATAAATTTTTTCCTATCTAATGGATTGAAGCTGAGGGAAATAAGAGAAAAACATGGGTATCTTGTAAAGAACTAGGCTGAAAAGCTACAGGCTGAGATTTACATGCGATTTGAATTGTTTGCCTGCTCTGAGGAAGGATGCCTTGTGGTAAGATTGGGTTTATTGTAGCTAATGTAGCTCCAGTTTCAACAAGCACTTGTATTTGTTCTATTTAGAATAATTTCTATTTCTCCCAGAGTATAGGTAAGGAGGGAAAAACAAGGTGCGTTTAAGTTCCTCGGAGCATCCCTATTCTTTCTTCTCTTCTTTTGCCCATTTTTTACCTCTGTTTTAGTTTCTGGCAGTTTTTCTTAAAGTGACGAGGTTTCTTGCAATAAATACACTCCACAGGGTGAGGTCCTTTCTGAAGTTTACTGGAGTATTCTGGAGGTCCAAACTGGGTGGATAGTTGTTTCGATTGCAAATTCATAGTCTTATTAGTTGTATCCTTTTGTTTTGCTTCTCTCTGTCTCTCTTCTTTAGTTAAGGTACAAGATAATGGATCAACCAGATTAACCAAATAAGAAGTCTGAGAAGTAGCCCAGTTAGGGCATTGTCTTTTTACTATTAGTGCCAATTCTTCATTTAACTCATTTAAGACATTAAAAATTGAGGTATGTGTCACTTGGATGATTAGCACACATGTCTTTAGATGATCTTGAATATTATTTAAAGATGTTTTCAAATCCTGCAAAATATATCAACTTTGTTGAAATTGTTTATTTTATTCCAGCTAACCACTCTTTGGAAAGCTAAATGGATGGTTTGGAGCAAAGCCTTTGCAACCTCATGAGTATGTCTGCAGTCTTCTTCTGAAAATGTATGAAAGCCCTTCAAAGGGTTCCTCCAATTTGCCTTAGTTACCTAATTTTTAGCTTTACTTTTTGACACAAATATGTAAACTAGTTGATACAAATTAGAAAAATCAGGGTCATAGCTTGAATGTTTTGTTCAAATTCCCTGGAAAATCCGATAGGGTCATGGTGGGGAATGAGGAAATTTTAAAATTATGCCTTTAAGTTCTACTTTTGACCATGCTTGATAAACTAAAACAGGTTATTCACTACCAGATACTGGCTGTCACAAAACGGAGTTAAAACAGCAGGAGTCGGAAGAAGGGAAAGAGGAGGAAAAGAAGGCAAGTCTGGGTAAGGTAGTTCAGACAAGGGGCTTTAAAGACATGGGGAAGCTGAAGGAAGAGAATAAGCTTCAGCAGTTTTCCTTAATTCATAAGTGGCCTTAGAGAGCTTTCTATTTTCTTCCTATAGAGAAACAACTTCTTCAGAGCCTCTTTTGGATGCTTCTAAGTATCATTGGAAGTAACTCTCCCAAGTATTTTGTTTAATTTTAGATTTGGATTTGTCTAATTGTGCACACAAATTAATTTAGGTACTTCAAAGATAACCCATTTTGGCCATTGTAGTTTGGAGTCTTCACAGGTGAAATAAAACTATTTTTCTAGCCATTAATAGGAGGTGGTGCCTCAGTATTACACAGGAATCCAGCTAGAATTTCTAAATGTAGATCTCTCCTTAAGGGAAGACTCTGTTTTAGGTGAGCAACTGTTCATAATTTGGGCTATCTTTTTAAGTAAACAAAGACTGAGAGGTAACGGTGTTTTGGAGTTGGTGTACTACTTAATGGGTTTTACTTCTTGGTATGTCACCCACAAGTCACTTCTCCCCTCTTATGTGTCTCAGAGAAACTCAGGAATCACAGGCATTTAAGGCAATTAGAGATCAGCCCTTCATATGTGCCCACTGGGTTAAGAAAGAGTCCCTCTATGTTCCTATTTGGGGATTCCCTCTCAGGCCATTGTACATGATGAGCAATGAGCTCAAAAACTCTTGCAAGACCTTAGTCACCTAAGGTGCCTTTGGTTCTAAGGAACAGTGTCTTTTGTCTTCAGTATTTATCTTTGTCCTTGTAGAAAGCTTTTCATTGGTATTAGTCACTGAAAAGGGGACTTTAGATATACCAAATTAACCAAGCTTCAGAGTTTAGACATTCAGAAAGAGAAACTGTTTCCTTCCCTGACCAAAGTCTGAACAAGAGAAAAGGCTGGACAAATTATAACAAGTAGTTAAGTTCCACAAACAACCATTCATCTAAAATAAAAGTGAAAATTCACACATTTGCAGACATGAGAATCTCTAGAGAACAGAAGTGAAACTCGTATCTTTTTTTTTTATTTTTTTTTTCGAGTTGGTGTCTCGCTTTGTCACCCAGGCTGGAGTGCGATGGTGCAATCTCGGCTCACTGCAAGCTCCGCCTCCCGGGTTCAAGCGATTCTCCTGCCTCAGCCTCCTGAGTAGCTGGGATTACAGGTGCCTGCCACCACACCCAGTTAATGTTTATGTTTTTAGTAGAGACGGGGTTTCACTATATTAGCCAGTCTGGTCTTGAACTCCTGACCTCATGATCCGCCCCTCTCCACCTCCCAAAGTGCTGGGATTACAGGCATGAGCCACCATGCCTGGCGAAACTCACATCTTTTAAAGCAGAACTTCAATTCCAGCTCCATCAACTGTGGAATTTGTTCACTTGAACGAAGTCTGAATCTCAACCAAAATTAGGGAGATTTGAAACTCAAGAGGAGCCTCATCATAGACCCCTGCCAGCTCCAGCAAGGCTGGGTGAGCAGAAGTTGTTTTGCCGGTACCAAGGCCCGGATTGTTGGAAAAATGGCAGGGATCACTGGCTGCTCACTTTAGGTCCCATCTGAGTTACCAAAATGTCAATCTAAAATAATTAAAAGGGTCAGAATCTAGTTTAAAGCTAGTTTATTCAAGTGCAAAGTTTGAGGAGACTGCCCAGGAAGCAGATTCCAAAGAACGAAAGGTAGTGTTTGGAAGTGTAAAAGTTCGGGTTCCTTTATACAGGAAAAGTTCAGGGAAGCTTAACAGAATTTCAACATCTTTCTGCAGAAGGTTTAAGGCACAGTTACAATAATCTGATTTGTTGAGGTGATCTTTTTCTTTTGGGAAAGGTATATTTAACATCCTACCCTGAAGATATACTAGTCACAGGGTCTTTTGGCCATCTGGCCTTAATTAGGTATAGAACAATAAAGGAAGGAGTTAATCTATAACAAAGGCCAGTGATTAGAAGGAAAGGAGGTCTGGTCTCTCCTCATCATTTATAGAACAAGACCAATGCGGAGGAGAGTTAATCTATAAGAAGCAGAAATTGCAAACTTGCTGTGTGACTCAGTTTCCAGGGCTTCACTTCTTCCTTGGCATAATACATTTAGAGGGTTCTGGAATTTTATGGGTTTTTTTTTACAATTATAATCTAAATAACTGAGAATTTTGGTTAACTACTAAGTCATAGTAGTGACTGTGCTGAATAGATTTGCTCTAGGTATAAAGATTTCAAACAAAGCAACTATTAATAATTTTTTGAAATTAATCATCATATTGTTATTCTTTTATGAGCATTCAGCTTCACAGGTTAGAAAAAGAGAAATAGATACATCCAAAGACATAAGAAGAAATGAAATAACACAAATCAGAAAAGAGAAAAAGCAATCAAAGATAGGGAAAAATAAGAATAAAAACAAAAGTTGGGTATTTGAAGACTAATACAAGAGACATAGCTCCAGCTAGACTGGTATAGAAAAAGAGAGAGAGAGAGAAACAGAGAAGGCTTGAATAAACACTAAATATGAAAATGAGACATAACCAGAGATGTATGAAAGACTAAAAAATAAGAAATAAATTCAATTGACAAATTTATACCAATAAACTTGAAGCCTTTGATAAAATGAGTGAATTCTTATGTCAACCTAAAAGGAAGAGACTGAGGAAAATATAGTTTAAAGAGTTCTTATAAGCCTACTGAGGAAAATATAGTTTAAAGAGTTCTTATAAGCCTAAGTGAGGACAGCTGCCCAAGACACTTCCAAGTTGCCTCAGGGAATGCTCTGTCAGCCTTTGTTACAAGCAGGTTTTTAAAGGCAAAAGGGAGCAAGGAGTGGGCTGATATAAATTGTCTTCAGGAATTCTCATGGTTTACCGAGGTAACGTTGATTAGTGATTGTTGAACTTCAGGGTATGAGTTATGGTGTTCAGCACATGGCTTCTTGGTGTTAGTGAATCTAGAGTCCACCTAGCCAGTTGCTTCAAGAGCTAATTATTTAACTCAAGGGGGAGTGACAGGACTGCTGTCTCATTCCAATGCCTTCTGGGCCTGATAATTTAAAGGGGCTTGCATTACTCAGATGAGAAGTTTATTTTCCTCTTTTTTTCCACACTTAGGAAGATATTTTATCAAAAATCCCTCAAGAAGAAACAAATATTAAGTAGTCCTATAACCACTAAAGCATTTGGATCAGCAATTTAAGACCTTATCATAAGAAAGCAATATCCCAGCCAACTTTCAGGGTAAATTCCAAAAATTTTCAAGGAAGAGATAATTCCAATCTTATAAAAACTTTCTCAGAGACTAGACATAGAGGGAATACTTCCAAATTTATTTTGAGTTTTCAATTTTATTTTATAAGTGTAATCTCATACCAATACCAGATAAGGACATTATAAGAAATGAAAGTAGAATTTCGGGGAGTTTAGTAGACTTGATGGTGGGAAGACAAGAAACTTTACTTCTGATTGTGCTATTTTCTCATTGAAATAATAAGCAAGTCAGCATCTAATATTCTCAAAATAGAGAAAATTTTGAAGTTTTAGATTCTGGGAAGTAAATAATAATTACAAATAGTAATTAGTAATTAATAGTAGATTTGCAACTCTGTTCCTGTCTCCTAGTTTTGACTTCAACTAGATCCCCCTGGGAACATACTAATAGAATTTAATGACTTCAGGATAAATGAGGGTGTTCCAGGGAATCCCTTGTAATGACTGCTTGTCTAAAACATCCTTTTAGCAGGATATACATGATCTTTTGTTTTAAAAAACCCACAATTAATGACTTTCTGAACCACTAATGTCCTTGAGAGACATTAAAATTAAGTGACTGATTTATGCTGCACACTGAGAGCTATTCACTTCAAATCCAAAATTCATTCCGATGTGTGGGGTGGGATGGGGACTTCCTAGACATCAATGTGTCATGCATTTCTACTGCTTCTTTGGTTAATCGTTAGAAAGCTTAGTACCCGGTAAGACTTCTGAGTTATATAAATTCAATTGAAAATTCATTCCTTTGTGATAGAGAAAACTTAATATAACACAGATGTCATTTTTTCTCTAGGTGAATAAATTCAATGCTGTGGCCATAAAAGCACCAGCTGTACATGTGGGATATTATAAAATATATATTTGGTCTTTGACCACATTCCCTAGCATACAACTCTTAAAATCCTTAGAATCTCTATGCTAATTTAGTATGCTAATGAGCTAACTGCGGGTAGCTCCTAGGTAGCTTCATGATGGGGGTGGTCACAAGAAAAGACCAAGGCATGATTAAAGAGTTGGGAATTCCAACCTCACACCAACCTCTAGGGAGAGAAGAAATGCTGAAGGTTAAGATGATGACCAATGGCCAGTGATTTCATGAATTATGCCTATGTAATGAAGCTTCAATAAAAAAAAACAGGACTGGGTTCTGAGAGCTTCCAGATGCCAAACATGTAGAGGTTCCTGGAAGGTGGTGTGCTGGGGCAGGAATGGCAGCTCTATGCCCTTCCTTCATACCTTGCCTTATGCATCTCCTCATTTATATCCTTTGTGATATCCTTTCAATAAAGCAGTAAACTTTAGTGTTTCCCTGAGTTCTGTGAGCCACTCTAGCAAATTAGTCAAATCTAAGGAGGAGGTCATGGGAACCCAGTTTAAAGCTATTTGGCCAGAAGCACAGGTAAAACAACCGTGGTGCTTTCAACTGGCATTGAAAGTGGCAGAGGGGACAGTTTTGGGGACTGAGCCCTCAATATGTGGGATCTGATGCTATCCCCAGGTAGCTAGTGTCAGAATTGGGTTTAATTAGAGGACATCCAGCTGCTATCTGCTGTAGAATTGCTTGCTTGCTTGCTTGCTTGCTTGCTGCTGGGGAGAAGTCCCCTCCTATCTGGTGTCAGACGCCAGTTGTGAGAGTATAGTGGGAGAAATTGGGTTTGTTTTTTCAACAACGGAAGTTCATGTTGGGGGAAAGTGAGCAAGTTCTGAACTTCAATGTGAAAAATACCCAAGCCCAGTAAAACTTGCCAAAATTTCCAGAAAAGAAGGACAAATGAATGGACTTCCTCTACCAGGTATTGGAATGTAATACAAAACTATATTAGGCCAGGCATGGTGGCTCATGCCTGTAATCCCAGCACTTTGGGAGGCCAAGGCAGGAGGATCACTTGAGGTCCGGAGTTTGAGACCAGCCTGGCCCACATGGTGAAACCCCATCTCTACTAAAAACACAAAGCATTAGCCAGGTGTGGTGGCATGCATCTGTAATCCCAGCTACTCAGGAGGCTGAGGCAGGAGAATTGCTTGAGCCCTGGCGGTGAGGTTTCAGGTGAGCCCATCTCATACCACTGCACTCCAGCCTGGGTGACAGAATGAGACTCTCTCTCAGGAAACAAAACAAAACAAAACACTGCATTAATTAAGACCATCTGGTAATATATTATTCAGGAGAGGTTAGGTTATGCTGCAATAACAAACCTCAAGTGTGGTTGAATGAATTATGAAATGCACATTTCATGCATTTCCATTTTTTCAAGCTTTCCTTTGTTTCCCTCAGAAACATTTAACTCTTGTCCTTATGTGAATATTGATGTTTTTGTTCAGTTTATTTCTTGATATTTTAACTGCTAATGCCATAAATGGGGTGGTTATTCCTATTGTGTTTACTATCCATTCCTGTTGGAATACATGAATGCTATTGTTTTCTGTATATTAACTTTGTACCTGTGTATCTTACTGTATTATGGTATCATTGTAATAAATATTGTATCATTGGATTTTCCAGGTACACAACTTTTAAAATGCAAATGTGATAATTTACCATCTCCTTTCTAATTATTATAATAACGCTGTCTTTATGTCATTTAATTGTATCAGTGAGGACCTCCAGAATAATAAGATTATGGTGTTGATGTATTGTCATGATACTAATAAATTCCATAGAATTTTTTTTCCCTACTAAGCATGAAGTCAGTATTTGGGGTGAGACTAATTATTTTAGTACGTACAAAAAATTCCTCCTATTTCTATTAGAAGTAGTTAAATTCAATTATACTAAAATGTTTACTGAACCTATGAATTACCCTATGATTTTTCACCTTAGGTCTATTAAAATGGTTAATTATATTAATATGCTTTCTGATATTGAAGGATCACGTCATTCCTGAAATTAACTCCTCTTGGTCATAGGATGTCAACTTTTAATGAGCTGCTGGTTTCTGTTTGTTAATATCTGATTTAGAATTTCTGCATAGTGAGAAATTTACTGTGTGTGGTCTTTTGACAGGTTTTAGGCTCAATCTTATGCTACTTCATCAAAATAATTGGAGAGTTATTTTTCTTTTCTATGCTCTGTAATAGCATCATAGTTATCTGATCTTTACAGGCATGTAGAAATCTCCTATGAAAGCCATTGGCCTGGCTATGTTTTATGAAAAAGAAAAACTTTATATATTTGTAATTGGCCTAATTACATTCATTAGAGTTCATTTTGGTATGTTACGTTTCTTAAAGAAGTATAAATTTCATTTAAGTTTTAAATTTATTTACAAAGAATAAAGGAAAATCATTTCTTATGCTTATTTTAATTATTTATTTAAATTATGTCTGTGGTCATTTTTATTTTATCATTTCTTATTATTTTATTAAATTGAACTTCCTTTCCTTTAAGATTTTGCTGGTGGTAGTTCTTATCGAAAAGTCTATAAATGGTTTGATATTTTTTGCCAGCTGCCTGAGGGCCCCTCGTCTCTGAAGCCCGGCTCTTTCTGAGCTCTGCATCCTCCACATGGGCACCTCCTCCACCTGATCCCGCTGGAAAGTCCTGTGTCCAGGTTACGGTTTGAGATTCCAGGTGCCTCTGAGTTTCGTTGGAAATGGAATTTGCATTTCTGTGTTTTAATCTCTTGATTATTAAGTAGTTTCTAATCAAGAAGACGTAAATTTCAACTTCATGCTACCACACTCAAACTCTAAGTATCACTTTATATTTTGGTATTTTGCTTTTTTGACATTTGAATGGAATTTAATTAATTCCAGTCATTTACATAGTTGGAGGACAAGAGACTTTATGTTATAATGTGTCATGACCATAATGTTTATATGATGTACATATGGATATATAAAATTTAAGTCTCTGTTTTTTCATGTTAAAATTGAAGATAAACTGGAATGGCAACTAATAAACCTATATTACCTTGCCTTACCTAAGGATAAATATAAAATAAAAAGTTTTATGCCTAAAAGTCTTTGGTGGGTTACTTAACAGAGATTTTTGTGAATTTCAAATATGATATTATATGAGAGAATATCTTGGGAACTGCAAAGCATAAAAAAAAGTAAGACTTACTATTAGTCATATATATTGTAATGAGAAAGAAAAAGACTAAAATAAGGTAGCCAGTCTTGATCTTGAGAAGTAAGGATATCAGCACTGGGGCTAAATACCAAATGAACTACTTTTATGGAAAGACAGATCCATTAAGCTTCTGACTTTGCAATGTCAGTATCATTGAATGTGTTTTTTTAAAGCTAATGAAATAATCTAAATAAAAAATACATAGCTTAGGATTCTTAGGATTCAAGTAAAAAGGAGCTATTCCGACCAATACCTTGATTGCAGTAGGGAGGTTGACATGACATCTCAAGTTTACATTATATATTAACTTTACAGAGCATTTTACTACTCAAAATACTGCAAACAACCTTTCCAAAAGAGTTATTTTCGTAAAGGTGGGGCATGGCAGCAGTCAGTTACATCATTTTTAAGGAGACATTTTTAGCTTGAAGGCTTTTATAAAGTCTTAATGAAGAAAATTAATTTCAAAGAATTAAATCAAGCTAAAATCTGTGTGTATGAGAAAAGTATTCCAGACAGAGAGGAGTGGAATAAAGAAATTGATTGTTTTTCATTGGATGGCTTGACAATAGTTTGGGTTTCAAAGACTAAGAAGCCATAACAGGGACTAAAGTAAATGGCGCCATGTGGAGCGTTTGGGGACTCGGAATTGGAGGCCTAAGTGTACCCAGGCACCCGTTCCAGGGTGTGCGCACCAACCGCTTAGTCTCTAGCCAGAATTTGTTCTATTTTAAAGAGCTATTCTAACTACTTTAAGATGTGGGTTTCAGGGTAAAAAGGATAACTAAATCCAGTTGAAACAAAACTTTGCTCCAGGCACTATCTGTAAAACAGGGTGGGTTAGGCCTCTCTCTGAGGAAGGTAGGTGATTTATTATCTAGTTTCAAAACCTTACTTCAAAGTGTGTGACCTCATCTGGACTCTGCTCAATACGCACCCTTGTCTTTTCCATCCACAGTGTACTGCCTTCTATGAGAATATATTTATTTTTCTAGAAATGAACAAGTTTGTTGTTATTGATTCACAAGAAAGAAATACAGGAATGTGTTTGCAAACAAAACAAGAATCAATGGGAATTCATTGCAATTAGGTTCTGTAAAGTGTCCAGCATTGTGCTTGCCATTTTGAAGATTTGTACTGTCCTGTATTTTTCTTTTTTTCTCTCTTTTTTTTTTTTTTTTTTGAGATGGAATCTCACTCTGTCACCCAGGCTGGAGTGCAGTGGTGCAATCTCAGCTCACTGCAACCACCACCTCCCAGGTTCAAGCAATTCTCCTACCTCAGCCTCCCGAGTAGCTGGGATTACAGGCGCACACCACCATGCCCAGCTAATTTTTTTGTATTTTTAGTAGAGGTAGGGTTTTGCCATGTTGGCCAGGCTGGTCTCAGACTCCCGACCTCAGGAGATCTACCCACCTTGGCCTCCCAAAATGCTGGGATTATAGGCGTGAGCCACTGCACCTGCCCCTATTTTTTTTAGTTTACTTGCTCTCTCATATTTAAACCTAGTGCGTGGATGGGACTAACTTGTCGTTCTGAAATGAAACACCTGAGAGAGAGAGAGTCTGCCTTCCTTGCAGCCAGTCCTGTGGAAGAATGGAAGGCCTTACAGGCATAGTTTGCCCCACCTGACTGGGCAGTAAATTCCATGAATAAAGGAAAAAAAAAAACCTACAGTATCTGGTGCCTAGCAGGCACACAGTGACCACACTATTTCATCAATTCCAAGTTGTGTGCAATTTCACATTTCATGCCCTGAAATCAGGGTCAATCTTTCAACTGATGGCTCTTACTGTCGTAACTGGTAGCATGTTTTTCTCTTAGATATACATAAAATCAGTGCACACCCAGCCGGCAATGATGTCTTAGAGGTGATGAACAACCACAGTTGTTAAATAAATGAAGATTTTGAGGTAAGGCCCTGAATCAACCATGAGACATGCCAATTCATCTTCCAGGAGATGAAACCCTTCAATGATCTCTCGTTACATTTAGGAATCAGCATTTCAATTTGATGTCTGATTTGTGAATAAGAACATCAGGTTCAAATTAGACAAAGGCCTTGGACAAAGGTCTCATGAGAACTTCACACAGAGGAACAGACAGATGTCTATGTCTATGGTCTACATCAGAAAGTGAGATGGAAGACTGTGCAACTTGCAGTGAAAAAGATGGCATTTATATAAATAACCTGGGTATTTTAAGACATGCACCCGCTCTCACTCTGTGTTTTAAACTTCATTTTAGAGAGGTGTTTGCTTTTAGCCTGTAATATACATATATTATTTTGCCTTACCCTTATTTTTCATGGATGTGGTTTAAGTCCCACCTTCTTTGGCCTTGTGTCCTGGTGGGCACTGATACCTAAAATTACCACCACATTGCTGCTTTCTGTTTATCCCGTCCGTGTATATCTAAACTGCAGACTAAACTCGACTGCAAGAATTAGTTACAAATGTGTCACAGGAAGCTGTACAAGCACAAGAATCCCCAGTGGAACTGCTCTCACTTTCTTCTATTAGGCTTGGCACGGAGGGAGTGGTGGCAACACATGCTTCCCTGTGGCCCAGTCTCTGAATCTGGCCAGAGGTCTGACCACCAGCATCTTCTGCTTATGGGCACCAGGTGCTATAATAAATATTATGAAAGGAAAACAAATGGAGCCTTTTTCTCTGCACATGTTTGGGGTGCATACAGCTCCCACCCTCCTAATACTGATGAAGAGTCTACATGTGAGTTTATAAAGCAGCCCTCCCCGGCGTTTGGGGGATGGGGGCAAGTCTTGTGACCGTCTGTGAGATAAAGATATATAAACTTTTACTTTGCAAATGCCTTTATGTTAATTTCCTGTATTACATTTATAGGGTGTAATACACATGACATATTTCTACTGTACATACAATATAAGCATTCATTGGAGAGTCAACAGTTTTCACAGGCAGTGTTAACTCTGCAATGTCAGGATGCAAATCATGTTACACATTGTTGCATACAAATATTGCTCCCGTTTACGATATTGCACACATGTATGTATTTTTTTACAAATGCAATATGCAGAAAGCATTATTTATTTAAAAAGGAGCCATAGGTTTTTCTATAGAAAGTGATGGAGAATGTTCAGCAAATTGCAGTGCTAAGCTCTAAAAGCAGCCTTGTGGGAAGATTTCTGCTAATATTCTCCATGTGTCTGCCAGGATATATAGTTAGATCTACAATGATTAGTTATTGCAGCTTCGAAAATGATTGCCAGAATCATTATAGTTCTATTAAGTGTACTCAATTTGAATCTCCAAATAATCTTTCTTGTGCTTTTTTTAAACAAATTATACTGAAGTTATATATAACATGGCTGGAAGGAAGCTATGGAGTTTTAGGGCAGTCTATTGCAGGCTTACCGGTTTGAAAGCAGGCCTGTGTAAATGCGGGTAAAGAGACTTTAGATTCAAGCCAGGTTTGCTGGGAGGTTCTTTGAGGTTTATAAATGTGGGCCAAACATTGAGGAAATCAGTGCTGAGGTTTGGGTTGGATGAAGCCCAGTGAATTCATAGTCTAGAATGGGAACAATATAGAATGTGATAGTTTCACATGGTTTCCATCCAGGACAAGGTACGACTTCAAACTGCAAACTGCCAGGAGCCAAATCAAAGAAAGGATTTCATAAAACCATCATGGGCTTGGCAAAACTTCCAGGCAGAAGGTGAGCAGAGTGCCTGTCACCAGGGTCCACAGGGGCTGGCCACGTGCAGGAAAGGGTAGAGTTTTCTGTCGCTTTTATTCCCGTGTGAGATTTCAGCCAGAAAACAGAAGCGTTCCTCTGGACTTTCACAATGTACTTAAGTAAACATTGTTTTTGTCCCCTTGTTCCATTGCGAGTGTGGCTGCAGTCAGAATATGGACATGCCAGAGGTCTGGTGTCGAAGAGAAGTGAGCAAAAGCCAGCTGGACAGGACGAGAGGAGCTGCCTGACATGGACGAGCTGCCTCCCTTAAGGTGGAGCCTTGCAATCTAAATCCATGATCTAGATGCATTTTTAAATGAAAAAAAACACTACTGAAATATTTCTAAGCATTTTGTGAATTTATGTATTTATTTATACATTTGTGAATATTCTCTTGTACAGGCATGTTTTGTACACTCTGCATTTTAAATAGAATAGAAATGTATAAAGGTTGTGGGACATGGGACCCCCAGGAGCCCGGATCCTATGCTGTGTCTTGGAGGTGGGGGGGCAAACCTAGGCAGAGCTGGACTGAGCAATCTTGTACAAAGGTCCCCCTGTGGTGGGTGCATGCACTACCCAAGGGAAAAGAAGTCGGTATGTCAGAAAGCTACCATAACTTGTATGCTTATCGTTATCGCAGCACTATTCAGAATGGCAAAGATATGGAATCAAAGTATTCACCAATGGATGACTAGATAAGCAAATATGGTATACATACACCATGGAATACTATTCAGCTATAAAAAAGAATGAAGTTGTGTCTTTTGCAGCCACAGGGTTGGAACTGGAGGCCATTATATAAGTGAAATAACTCAGAAACAGAAAGTCAAACACCACATGTCTCTTACAAGTGGGAGCTAAATAATGAGTGCACCTGGATATAGAGTGTGGAATGATAGGCTTTGGAGACTCAGAAGGGTGAGGGGTGGAGGGAAATGGATGATGAGAAATTACTTTCTGGGTACAATGTACATTACTTGGCTGATGAATACGCTAAAAGCCCTGACTTCAAGACTATGCTATCTATGCATGTAACGAAATTACACTTGTACCCCATAAATTTATACAAATAGGCCTGGCACGGTGGCTCATGCCTGTGCTTCCAGCACTTCGGGAGGGCGAGGCAGGTGGATCACCTGAAGTCAGGAGTTTGAGACCAGCCTGGCCAACATGGTGAAGCCCCATCTCTACTAAAAATACAAAATTAGCCAGGTGTGGTGGTGCATGCCTGTAATCCCAGCTACTAGGGAGGCTGAGACAGGAGAATCGCTTGAACTCAGGAGGCAGAAGTTGCAGTGAGCCGTGATCACACCATTGCGCTCCAGCCTGGGTGACAAGAGTGAAGCTCCATCTCAAAAAACACAAAAATATACAAATAAAAAAAGAAATGTATAGAGGGTAACAGCAAAATGAAATAATTATTTTCTCCTGCAAATGTGGCTGCTGTTAGACGTGTTAGCACCTTCACTTTCTTGTTCTCTTGAGCTCGTATGATGAGAATTTTCTTGGATCTATGGTTTATTTTGGATTTTGGATAGGTTAAATGTGGATAAGATAATCAGTAAGCTGTGGTCACACGTATGCAGCCTGCAGTGCATTATGTGTGGTGCACCCAGTTAGGAGGGATGCGCCCTGCCACCTTTCAGTAGTGTGGAAGTGAATGGCGCACACCCAGTGTGAGGAGAGCTTAACCAACTTCTATTCTTAGGTAAAGATAGACATGAACAGTCAGGGAAATTCGAATACTTTCATTCAGCTCTCCAGGTTGCACACCCTGGGGAAACACGTGCACCTGTTGGAGAACCCTCGTCTAACAATAAGATGACCATGGACCGTGATCTGACCACAGCAAGCATCGTTTTCTATGGCCAGTGTCCCAGTCAGTTTGGGCACTATAGTAAATTACCATTGCCTGGGTGGCTTATAAATAGCACAAATTCATTTCTGACAGTTCTGGAGGCTGGAAGTCTGAGACCAGAGTACCTGCATGGTGGGTTCTGTGTGGCCCTTTTCCGAGTTGCAGGTGGCTGCCCTGTCCCAGTGTCCTCACATGGTGGAGAGCGGAGTGAAGCAAGCTCTCTCAGGATGCTTATAAGGGCACTGATCCCATTCATGGGGGCTCAGCTCACATGACCTCAGCTAATCCTAATCACCTTCCAAAGACCTCACCTCCAGAAGGTGTAGGGTTTCAATGTATAGATGTTGCAGTCACGAACATTCAGCCAATAGCAGCAATGTTCTATTTCATGTCAGAATTGGATGCTTAAGAGATGAAGCAGGGCGCTGAGAGGTACTAGAAGAAAGATCCCACCTTTGGGATGGGAGTTAATGGGACCTTGTCCAGAAAACCAGCAGCTTTGGAAATTCTTCCCCGAGTCTCCAAAGCTGAGTCTGGCTTCTCCCCTTGGGTCCCCCAACACCCTCTGACCACCTCTATCAGAGCATGTGTCTCCCTCCATCAGAACTGTTTACTTAGCTCTCCTCAGTTGCACTGTTGGTTCCTCGAGGAAGGGAAAGGATTTTGCCTGTTCATTTTAGTATCCCCAGCACCTCACCTAAGGAAAAAAATTAACAGGTTACTGCTGAGGGAGTGAGTGAATGGAATAAAGCAATCAATCAAAACTTCTCTCAGCTGACTGTACCGGTTCAGGACCCAGATTCACCCCAGCTGGGGAGATGGGCCAGGAAGGAATTTGGGTGGGCTGGCTATTAGGGTACACATTAGGAATTAGAGGCCTCAGCCTGCTGTTCAGGCAGGAATCCCACAGGAATATGGACCACGTGAGAACCACATCTCACCAAGTGTGTGAGAGTGTTTGCAAGGAGGGGGAGCTCAAAGATAGCTGCATTGTTCTGGGGTGACCAGAGATCCTCCTCAATACCCTCACCCATCCTTCCCTCTATGTAAGACCCCGCACTTCCTCTGCAGATGCAGTTTTAAGACCTCTTTCCTAAAATTGCTCCCACCCTCTGGAAGGCCACTCCTAAGTCACTCCCACAAGGGAAGTGTCCAGCACCACTGGGGACTGGGAATGTGCTGGTATCAAGGGTGTGGAGGCAAGGATGATGGAGTAGGTAGAGGGTGAAGAGGACCGTCTGCAAATCCACCTGAAGGCTGCAGGAATGGGGGAAAGCCAGGAACCGAAAGGGCCCAAGCCTCAAGGCTTTTCATACTCAAGAAAGTCAGGCAGAAAGCATCTGCGTGGGGGTGGGGAAGCAGCCATGAGAGTGGCCAGGGGCGACTGAGACCCTGCTCACTGGCCCCCACCCTGCTCTTCCATCACGGCGACCCTGGAACAGAGTCGCAGGGCAGCTGAAACGTTGCTGTGACAGTCATAGAGAGGAGCATGGATGCCTTTATTTTCATTAAGTTCTGTGCTTCTTCTTTATAGCTGACTTCCCCCAAAACAGCACATGAATAAAGAAAGTGCCCAGTGCAGCCAATTATACACGTCTCTCTCACTAGATTCTGCCAGTTTGGTTTTCCTGGACATTAAGAAAAGCTAAGAAATCTGGATGGTAGCTTTCCCAAGATAGCACAGCCCTTCTGATATAGTTTGGATATTTGTCCCCACCCAAATCTCATGTTGAATTGTGATCCCCAGTGCTGGAGGTAGGGCTTGGTGGGAGGTGTTTGGATCATGGGGCAGATCCCTCATGGCTTGGTGCTGTCTTCACGACAGTGAGTGCCTTCTCACCAGATCTGGTCATTTAAAAGTGTGTGGTGCCTCCCTCCCAGTCTCTCACTTGCTTCTGCTTTCATCATGTAACACGCCTGCTCCCGCTTCATCTTCCGCCATGATTGCAAGCTTCCTGAGGCCTCCCTAGAAACCAGGCAGATGCCAATGTCACGCTTCCTGTAAAATCTGAAAAGCCATGAGCCAATTAAACCTCTTTTCTTTATAAATTACCCAGTCTCAGGTGTTTCTTTCCAGCAATGTAAGAATGGCCTAATCAGAGCATCTCCCTCCCTGTCTTCGTACAATTAATGGAGTTCTGCCTACAAGATGCTTCAATAAGAGACTTGGCCCCAGTTCCAGGAGAGGAAAGCCCAAGCCTCTCAGCTGCTGCAGAGATGTGGGCTGTATGCCAAGGAAGCTTGACCTGACCTTGGTTCCTGGAAGGCATTGGCAGTCAAGTGGAGCTGATGATGCCTGCACTCTGCGGTCCAAGGGTCTGTGGGCTGCTTAACCGCAGGAGGTCACAGGGGCCAAGAAGAGAGAGAAAATGAGCTGGGAGTTACTATGCAGGTAAGGAGTCTGCATGCTGGCTAAAGTATTCAAAGAGAATTATGGGCACAGATATTGCCCAAGGAGTCCAGCACACCAAAGTGAGGAAGGAAGGGATCTCCTTTTGAGAGCTTTTTATTTTGTCATTCATAGAGGGCATGATGACTCTTTCTGAAATTTTTGCTCAAGGGCCAAGAATTAGAACGTGCACCACTGTGAGCAGGTGGCTCTGAGATAACATTCATTGAAAGGCAACATTCCTGGGAATAATCAGATTAACTTGGGGTACCAGGCACAGTACCACATAACAACATTATTAAGAAAAAAATGTAGCTTGACTTTTGCCTCCCCAGTTGTTCAAAGCTTTCTTCTATCTGGACTCCTTCTCCACCTGCTGGCTTTACTCTTACCTTTGCCCAACTGTCGCCGATGTGTCGATGCTTTGCGTGTTGCTCTTCCGGTGAAGCAGGTCTTCCTTCATTTGTATTCACCTGGATTCACCAGTCTCCCTTCGTTCCACACGCTGTGCTAACGACGGAGGATACAGACTTCAAGGACAGGACTCTTGCCCTCCAGTAGCTGTAGTCCAAGAGTGAGAGAAAGACATGTAAATAGCAAGTGCTTTATGGAGTCATTGGGCCTAAAATGGAAGCATCTACACAGATAAGGAAGACTCGATTCTCTCATCGAGGGTCTCTCCAGTTCGGCACAGCTCTGGGGTCTGCCCGCTTTTTAAGTTTCATCTTCATTGCCACCACCTTAGACTCCGATCGTTTTTTTCTGTGTTCCTGAATCACCCCCTAGGCAGTTTCTGTATTTGCTCTTTCCCTCACCATTCCAGTCTCCAAACGGCCACTGTGTGGATGCAAATTCGATGATGTGCACCTCTTGCATACAATTCTCTATTTTCTTCCCACTGTTAAGGATGAAATCCTGCAAGGACTGATGTGACTGCCACATTTCCTGTCTCAGCGGGGCCCTTCTCTCCCTCCATCCTCCCACCTGCGAGCTTGCTTCCATTTTCTCAACTGGCTTCAGGGCTTTTGCGGAACTCCTCCACAGGCCCCTGTGTGTCATTAACTTCCATTCATCTTCCAGGTTTGGGGGTTGGGGGTCATTCCTTAGTGAAGCTCCCCTGTCCTCCTCCATGATGGGATTTGATGCCCTTGTTAAGTGTAATTACAGTGCCTTACATTTTCCTTCTGGTCACCATCACCACTTACCATTTAGATTTTGTGACTCTATGATTAATGTTTGCCTCTTTGTAGAAAATAAAGTAAGGACTAGTGTAAGAAAGAAGGACTATGTTTTTTTTGTACAAAATATTTGATTCCTTTAATAGGCCCCTCAAGGGCATAGTTTGTCTTTTATTGTAGAGGACATAGGTGTTCAACTTTACTTGCCCAGTGATTTACCTCCTCTTCTACTGGGCGGACAGAGAGATACAAAGTCAGGGAGAGAACAGGTAGACCCAAAAGCATGGCAGGCATTAGATAAACTTCCAATGTGAGACCCAAACATTTCAAAATTACATAAAACTATCTTTTATTTCCGGATCATCTGGGATCTCCTTCACTGCCTTTTAGGCCAGTGATTCTTCCCGATTACCACTCAGGGGTACCGCCTGTATTGTGGACATGATCAGTTGCATACCGGACCTTATTTGGGTCTAATTTTGAAGGGTCCAGGTGGGCTGGGAATGTTGCTGGCCTATCTACTCTATTATGTTATGTTGTTTATTTGACTATAAAATGTCAAGTGGGCAATTAATATAAACTTATTATTAGTAAATTCCATTATTAGGGACTTCTTGGAGTGCACTGGGAATGGTGACTTCTCATAAGAAACTCAATCCCATGGGACTCATTTGAGAGTCCCTTGCCTAAGGATGTCAGGATATAAAGAAGCAAGTTTTTGCTTGTATGGTTTGGGCTTAATCTCAACTCCCCTTCACATGGAACTTTTGACCTGTGACATGCAAAATGCTACTTCCCTTAGACTCCCAGAGGTCTTGGTGCATATAAATTGAGGATCAAGCTTCACTTGAGAATTTACTAAGAAAACAACTTTGTGACTAGGAGGAAATGACCTTTCTGGAGACATGGTGGTGGTTACATTATGGACAAAATTTCAAAGATAAAAACCCGGTGGTCAAGAAATTTAGTCAGATGTGTTCCATTTGTATTGAATTTGTAACCAGGTAATTTCATTTCTTAATCCCTATTTTCCATCAGTAGGAGAAAGTTGGTGGGCACCTTTCAACCTTCCCTGTTCAGTGGTGAATGGCACTGCCCTGCCTGATGAGAAGATCTTACTGCAGATTCTCCTGGATTGTAGAGACCAGTGACTTCTGTTCCTTTTGAAGGGAAATGGCACAATGCCATTTAAGGTAGAATTCCAGAGTTGTAAAAAGCATTCAAAAAAGTGATAAGGTGCTAATTGACTTTAATCCATAAGAGAGAGTCCACAAACTATCAACCTCAAGCTTAGTAATGAGCTGTCATTGTCTCCAGCTGGGAAAGCTGACATGGCAGCACTGTAGTACAGCACCACATGCTCTGTGCAGGTCTGTTCCCTGCCAGTCCCTGCAGGCTGACACCTTCATCCCGTTAGCACTGCAGTGGTGGAGGCTGTTGGTACCCTCCCAGGCTCCTTTACTGAGATGGTGCAACCACCTGACACCTGCTGTGAGTGCTGGCTCCTAGCAGCTTACTACTGCGATTCTTTGGAGAACTGTCCCTCAGCCAATGGTGTCACATTTGCTAGGGGAAGGGTGTTATGTGTCCTGCATGCACCAATCTCCCCTAAAGTTAGCACATGTGCCTCACTGCAGGTAATACCACCTCCCCTCTCCACTTCCACCATCAAGGAGCCAAAGATCAGGCCTAAGAACACATTTTTCTTTTTTTTTTTTTTAGACTGAGTCTTACTCTGTCACGCAGGCTGGAGTGCAATGGCATGATTTCGGCTCACTGTAACCTCCGCCTCCTGGGTTCAAGCAATTCTCCTGCCTCAGCCTCCTGAGTAGCTGGGATTACATGCGTCCGCCACCACGCCTGGTTAATTTTTGTATTTTTAGTAAAGATGGAGTTTCACCATGTTGGCCAGGCTGGTCTTGAACTCCTGACCTCAAATGATCTGCCCGCCTCAGCCTCCCAAAGTGCTGGGATTACAGGCGTGAGCCACCGCGCCCAGCCAATAGCCCTTTCCCCTCTGCCCTATCCTGCTTCCTTCACCCACCATGGGATGTTCCCCAAACAGGGCTTCCTTCAAAACTCAGACACACTCGAAACCCTGCCCAGGCACTACTTCTAGGGAGCCCAACTGAGGATGCCACTGCAGCATTTGCCCACGTCTGTGGCTCTTGCTGGAGTCCATGTTTAAATGCTCTCCTCCCCAAGAGCTTCCACTCTCATCATTCCTACATCAGGATCTGTGTCTAGTACCTCACCAAGAACCCAGCCCTTTCATTAAGGGAAGAAGTCGCAGACCCCCACCTGTCTGAGAACCATCTGTAACCTTCCACCCCAGGAGAGCTTCAGAGAGCCATCAGTGATCCTGTGCACCACAGGCCACTGCCGTCGTGTGGACTCTCCCTGGACCCTGCATCATGGATTCACTGAAGACTCTGGCAGCCCTGGAGGTTCCTGTTCTCAAGGGAGAGAGCTTATGATATTTCAATAGAAAAGACTTTTTTTTAGAGTTTAATTATTATTATACTTTAAGTTTTAGGGTACATGTGCACAACGTGCAGGTTTGTTACATATGTATACAAGTGCCATGTTGGTGTGCTGCACCCATTAACTCATCATTTAGCATTAGGTATATCTCCTATGCTATCCCTCCCCCCTTCCCCCACCCCACAACTGTCCCCGGTGTGTGATGTTCCCCTTCCTGTGTCCATAGAAAAGACTATTTTTTATTGTTATTTTTTGAGACAGAGTTTTACTCTGTTGCCCAAGCTGGAGTGCAGTGGTTCAATCTCAGCTCAACTGCAACCTCCATCTCCCAGGTTCAAGTGATTCTCCTGCCTCAGCCTCCTGAGTAGCAGGGATCACAGGTGCCCACCACCATGCTCAGCTAATTTTTTTGTATTTTTAGTAGAGATGGGGTTTTGCCCTGTTGGCCAGGCTGGTCTCGAACTCCTGACCTCAGGTGATCCACCTGCCTTGGCCTCCCAAAGTGCTGGGAGTATAGGCATAAGCTACCATACCTGGTTGAAATGATTATTTAAATAGCAGTTAGATACTGTAGTAGTCCAGGTTGGCCACATTCTGAACTAGTCATTCATTTGATCCCTATCAGAAGAAAATGGACTTTGGCCAGGCACAGTGGCTCATGCCTGTAATCCTAGCACTTTGGGAGGCTGAGGTGGACAGATCACCTGAGGTCAGGAGTTCGAGACCAGCCTGGCCAACATGGTGAAACCCTGTCTCTACTAAAAATACAAAAATTAGCCAGATGTGGTGATGCATGTCTGTAATTCCAGCTACTTGGTAGGCTGAGGCACGAGAATTGCTTGGACCTAAGAGGTAGAGGTTGCAGTGAGCCAAGATTGCACCACTGCACTCCAACCTGGGCAACAGGTTGAGACTCTGTCTCAAAAAAAAAAAGAAGAAGAAGAAGAAGAAGAAAATGGACTTTTATTGCCCTTGCTTATCAGTTTACCAGAAGAAAATAGCTATATTAACACGAAAATGGTATGTAACAAGTGAAATTATACTTATGCTCACATTGTTATTTTGACTAAACATTAATTTACTGTTGAGCTTTCTATAACCAAGACAAACAAAAAAAATCATGAGGGTTGCATAATTTTCATCATTGAATTAAAAAAGGCAGACCATTTTGCCAAGAAAGGCACTAATTTTGCAGGCAAAAAATTCTCTGACCATATGTGGCTGCCTAAATGAGAAGCATAGTATCTGTTGAGAACTGTGAAAAGTCTGAGATTTTACCCTATTTGTGAGATAACAGCTTAGCAAGTCACAGGTTCATGGATGCTGGTGAAAGACACTAGACTGCCTGGCCTGAGACTAAGACTTTATTACTCACAAAAACAGCAATACCCAGAGAATCGGCTTTTGTTGTACTGGTTCCTTGAGTTCCAGTTCTTCTAGGGTGACACAAAGAGGACCATGTAACATCAGCACACATACTGGTTGCATTCCAGGATGAGACTTTGACCTTAGGCCCCGGGCTGTAGTCATGACTGACCATTGCTCCAGGAAAACACGATCTCAATCTTCAAAGGCTGTTCACTAGAGAAACATTCTGGGAAAAGTAGCTCAGAATAAAAAAGCAGTCAGCGATTCTATTTGTAAGGTGTGCGGAAACCCAAGAAACCCATGGAGAGTTATCTCACAGCACACACTGAACGACAGTGTCACAGGCCATGCATGGCAGTCATCAGATGGCTAATCATTGATGGGCCTCATTTAAATCCAAAACTCACCTGTTGAAATACATTGTAGAGCTAGTTAATGTGATCTCCAGTACAGCTTTTTGTCAACATAATTTGATTTAACATCAAGAGAAAAGGGTGCAGGAAAAAGGATTAATGAACCAGTCCGAGGAGAGTGATCACAAGTGACAGCAAGAGGTGCCTGTTGAGATGGCCACGTCTAGCTAGTGAAGTCTGGCTCTTTTGATAGCCTTTGAGTCCTCTAATGAGGACTGATAGTGAAGGGTTATGCCCTTATCTGGTTGGGTGTGGTCTCTATTGGTTGGGTGAATATTTGGACCCTTTTGGCTTGACACCTTTTGAAATGTAAGATGGAGTCTTTTTCTAAGATGGAGTCACTTATGTCAAGGGTGTTCTATACACTGCCTCCTGGCTCCATTCAGCATCCCTAGGTCTTCTGTCTTATCCCTCTTTCATGCCCCACTCCCTCAGACATCATAAGCCTCAGGGCCTCCTCGGCCTCCTTTACTTGGCAGAGTCCCCAGCCTTGGGCCTCCCTTCTTCTTGGGGTCTGAATGCCGAACATCTCCCTAGGTCCTTGCTGGGGGCCCAAGGTGCATCTTGGTGAAGATAAATCTCAGCAAAGACGTCGCTGACTGGAACCTGCATCGTTCGCAGGGCTCTCTGTGCATTAAATGAAACATTGTGCTTCTTTACTGTTATCAGTAACATAACACTTTAATAGATCATGCCTCAGCGACTGGGCCATTTTCAGTACTGTCTAATTTAGAGGGTTGGATAAATAAACATTTCCAATCAGTAACAAATGTAGCTATCCTGTAGAGTCACCACCTCCATATTTCACAAATCCACCTACTCTTCCCCATGCCTGGTTACCTGGCTGCAGGGGAATACATCTCTGACATCTCTGCCTCCTGTCTGCATGCCCGGACTCCAGGCTTGCCCTTCCAATGGAGTCTTTCACATGCACACAGAATGATGCTCCTCAAAGGACATGCATCAAGTTTCCTGCTTAAATCTCTTTGCTAGCTCTCCACAGCTGTCAGGATACATATCAAACCTTTTAACAAGGTTTTTATGAGGCTGCTTCTACCAACCTCTCCAGCTTCATTTTTCATCACCCTGAACCCTTGTACATCACATCTCAAATTCGCTGAATGAATGCTGTATCAGTTTGTTCTTACACTGCTGATAAAGACATACCTGAGACGGGGCAATTTACAAAAAAAAAAAAAAGTTTTAACGGACTCACAGTTCCATGTGGCTGGGGAGATCTCACAATCTTGGTGGAAAGTGAAAGGCATGTCTCACATGGCAGCAGACAAGAGAAGAGAAGGTGGGCAGAGAAACTCCCCTTTATAAACCTATCGGATCTCATGAGACTTAGTCACTATAATGAGAATAGCACAGGAAATATCTGCCCCCGTGATTCAATTACCTCCCACCAGTCCCTGTCACAACACGTGGGAATTGCGGGAGCTACAATTCAAGATTAGATTTGGGTGGGGACACAGCCAAAGCATATCAAATGCCTTTCAGTTCCTGTGTCATCTCATGCTCCACGGACAGTTTGATATGTTCTGTCTGTGCCTGTGATACACCCTCACGCCCTCCACCTGTGCTTAGCAGGCTCCTGCTCATCCCGGACTTCAGTTCAGGAGGGTTTCCTCCAGATCAGCAACTCTGCCCAGGCCATTTTCTTCCATCTTCCCCTGATCTTCTCTGTGACAGCTCAAGTCATAAAGTAAGCAACATAGACATTTTTTGTCTCTTTCCTGCTAGTATATAAGCCTAATTAGAGTTACCTCTTGGCCCATTAAGAATACTTTAAAAATAATAATCATAAAAATATTTGATATTTATTGAGTCCTCATCATCCGCCAAGTACTGCTAGAAACACTTTGCCTGCATCTCTCATTAATCCTCTCTCTCAATGAGAGACAGATGTGGCTGCTATTCTTATTTTACAGATGCGGAAACTAAACACAGAGAAATTAAGGAAGTATAGGAAGGAAGTGGTAGAGTCAGGGCATCAGTGAGAAAATATCAATTGTTCTTTGAGAGACTGCAATTCTAATTCTTCCAGATAGGTATTTTGATCTTTATTTTACAAAAAACAAACTAAAGTGCAAAACATTGTACTTGCCCAGGTTGACGTAAGTAGGAAGGGGCTGCTGTGAACCCTTAGAACTCAGGGTGCCTGAACCAGGAGCCCGTGCCCCTCCCACACCTCATCCCTCTAAATGTCTCCATCTCAGTGAGGACCCGCATGGATCAAAGTTGGGCGTGCATGTCATGTTGTTTTACAATTGTCATTGGTAGGAAAAGATCCCTGAAAGGAGAAAAGTTCATATAGGAAGAAATCAGTTAACACAACAAAGTAATGGGGTTTTACCTACAGGAAATATAGATGCATGGCTTGAAATTAGGTACTTGAGGTGGATCACACATATTTTAGGATTGCCCCCTCAAATTATTTTACAAATGAACCTTCTGAAAATATATTTTTATATTTCAAATCCTTAAAAAAAACTGAAAGTTATAAGAAAGATCAAATTACAACGTTTACCATAAATTTTGTTAAAACTAACACATTATGAGAAATACATTTCTTTCTGTATTTTTGAAAGGTTTCAGTAAAGATCAGTGCTCTTACTTAGGATGGTTCTAATTGTCTGAGTCTGTTATGTGTTGGAGATAAAATACTTGATTTAGTGATATAATGTTTCGCATAAATTGTTTTTGTTAAAAGATACATATTCTTTGGAAAACATTCCAAAGCAATATTTGATATGAATGGGAAGTCAATTCATTAGCTTTATAAACTGAAGGAATAGAGACTTTTCAAATATGGATTAAATAAGTGGAAGCAAGTTTATATTCTTGTTGATAAGTTTAATTTCTCATAGAAACAGTGGGAGTTGATACCAGGTGCACTCTCTGAAATGCTGAGAACCTTGTTTCATGCTTTGCAGCTCTCCCTTTTGTGTATGTGAGTCCCTGATAATAATTGCATTTAGCTGATTAAATCAACATAAGATAGCTGTTTATGAATGTTAAATTCTTACTTTCAAGGTTATTCTTGATTTTGGATTATATTTTCTGGCAAGAGATATTTAAATTTTTCTCAACGTAAGATTGAAGGAATATGGAAATATATTACGTCAAGGACATAATCTGACACACAGCTGAACTGTAGAGGAAAACAAAATTATGAAATAATAAAAACCAAAGGTTCTACTCCCACTCAAGTCTGATTCTTTAGGGCTCATCAGTTCTCTTTCTTTTAATTATAGGAAAAGTGTGTAAACCTAGAAGTCCACAGTAAACAAACTCGGACCTTTATTATATCATAAGAAAATTAATTATACATATTTATGGAAATCCATGAGGTAATTTGGTTGCTTATTCTAAAATAAGCAGTTAGATGTAGGAATAACAAATCTGGAAGCATGGCTGAAACCAGACACTTGGAAGCTTGCTTTCAAATCTTTGATCCTTGCTGATTGAGACTGAATTTCCTTTTTTTTTTAACTGAGGAAAAAAAATCTTTTGTAGAAGGATCTCTGACAAAAGTTAAATTTGAGTGGAAAATTGTAAAATCACAACCTTTTGGATCTTTCAATAAGGGTTTAACCCAATGTCATGGCCTTATGAAGCTGAACCAGTCTAAAGATCCTCCCAAATTCAATTCAAGATGTTGTTGATAATAAAGATGCTAACAATTAGTGTCTGAAGGCATGTGGAAATGATTTAATGATAGACATACTAGGTAGGGAGGTTGTGGGAACTAGGCCTGATGCTTGTGATGCCCTCGTAAAGAAAATTTATCTGAATAAAGCCAGGCTCATTTGTTGACATATTTTTCATGACTGCTTTTGCACAACAATGGCAGAACATAATTGCTACCGTCATATGGCCCACCAAGCCTAAAATACACACACACACACACACACACACACATATATATATATATATATATTTTTTTTTTTTTTTTTTGTGAGACAGAGTCTCGCTTTATCACCCAGGCTGGGGTGCAGTGGTGTGATCTCAGCTCACTGTAACCTCCGCCTCCCGGGTTCAAGTGATTCTCCTGCCTCAGTCTCCCAAGTAGCTGGGATTACAGGTGCCCCCCACCACACCCAGCTAATTTTTGTATTTTTAGTAGAGACGGGATTTCACCATGTTGGCCAGGCTGGTCTCCAACTCCCGACCTCAGATGATCCGCCCACCTCAGCCTCTCAAAGTGCTTGGATTAACATACTTATATCTTTACAGAAAAAAATTTGCCAGCCCCTGGACTAGAAAACCAGTGAACAGAACGAAAGTGTTGGCAGATTCATTTTCTCTACTTCCACCCATCCATCCTGGCCATAGGCTTCTATGCCGGAAACGTTCTCTCACTATCTATAATTCTTAATTTTTGAGGTTAGTTTCTTCCCTTTTTTGATTTAGGGTTTATATTTGAGATTTTTTTCCATCACTGCTTCTAGGCTTAGAGATACTGTAAGTTTCTTTTCATTTTGAAATTGGAATTTCAAGCTGTGCAGACACTGCATGCAAGGCAGCCTGTACCGCAGGTCAGGGAGAGTGCATTCCTGGGAGTCAGCAAGTCTGGGTTTCCCTCCCAGTGTCGACCGAGTGAGCTGTGTGACCACTGTGAAGGTATTAGAATGCTCGGCTCTTCGGTTTTCTGGTAGAATAATTGAAGTCCATAAGCCTGGCGCGCCTCCTGGAATTGTTTCTACAGTGAAGCAAGAGATAAACATTTGAAAGGAATTTTCATTTTGAAAAGTCAAAGTGCAGTTTAGTACTATCTTCACTAAATATGGATCTCTGGAACTAAAACACAGAATTTCTTAAGAAGACAAAACCGAATTAACCTGTATTTATTAAGGATCTTCTGTGAGAAAGGAAATGACGCCCCACTGATGGGAGCTGACAATCATGCCGAACGATCATGCCGCCTGCCGACCTGACCCAGCTGAGGTTAGGGTGTCCTGTGGATGCCCTGAGCCACCAAACAGGCAAGGCTAGTCTCTGTAATCAGTCTTTCTAAACTTCCTGAACTTTAGTTAACTCGGATTTTCCAACTCATAGGCAGAAAACTGCATCTAGAATTGGCTTCTCCCCAAACATGATCTTAGCTGGATGAAAACCTAAAAAGCAGAACATCCAATTTCATCATGGAGCACATAATTTAAAGTGCTGCAGTTGAGCGCTACTTGGCAGTAGAAAAACAGTTAAGAACAAACTCTCTGCTGTGAACACTCAACTATCAGCAGCAATTCATAATCATGTCTGCATTTTTCAATGCTGTAGTTGATTAAGAAGGCAAGATTAAGCAATGCATCGTCTAACGGATTTAGCCTGTTTCTCCTTTGGAATTTAGTGACAGATTTGCAGAGTCCACAGTTCCACGGATGTTGGTTATTTTTGAATGTTTTTCTTACTAAATGCTCAATAATACGAAAACGCTGTCTGGGGAGCCTTTTCTTTTTTTACAGCACATTCTTATTTCAGACAAATTGCCATCTTTTTTACTCTTTCAATGTTTTTAAAATTCAAAGGGATAAACAATTAGTTTTCAAAGAATAAGAAAAAAATGAAAACAAAGGACTATTCATTCAGTGCTGCAGTACTTTAACAACGAGTACCCTGAGAGTGGAGAAAATATATATTGTTGTTAAATTAAAGTGTAAATAGACACCTAGGACATAAATTAACCTGCTTTTACAGGGGAAGATAGGTAAATAGAAAAAAACAGAATGACTTAGCCAGCTGTTTTGATTTATGGTTTTAAATATTTCATGCTATGATTTGTGTGAGTTAAGCCATAGGGCATTCAAAACTACTTAAATCTCCCTCAAAGACATTCATTTGCAATTAAAGCATACTCGTGAAGTTCTTTGGGGCTATTTTTCCCTTGAGTTAATGCAACAGGAGAAATTGTTTAAATTCAATGTTCTTTCCTCACAGTGTTTTACTGAACGAACCTAGAGGTTTCTCTTCCTCTCTGCTTCTTTGTGGTAATGGGTCCAATCCATCCTTCCTTCATGTTCTCCACCCACCCCCAATCTCATTTTTCGTATTTGTTCTCAACTCTGATCCACTGATTTCTGAGATACTTTTTTCCTGTTATTATCTCCATGATAGTTCCTTCTGAGTTTCTTTTCCTGGTTTTCCCTCTTCAGTTCCACATTGAAATCAGAGTTTCCATCTTCAGTTGTTCTGGGCCCTCTCCCCTGGGGGTTCATCTTCTCCCCTCTGTTGACTGCCACCCTTCTGTGACTCCCAAACACTGGCCTCTGGCCTGCCTTCTTTAGTCCATCCTGTTCTCAGCTGCCTGTGGGCATCTCCTTTCAGATGCAGGCATAGAACCTTGACTCAGTGTGTCCAGAATGGCGCTCTTGACTATCTCTGGCCCTACTTCTGTTTCTACTAAAATCCAGGAAAAAGAGACTGCTTTCTTCTGCCTCTTTCCTCAGTAAAATGCACTAGCCTTCTTCTAGGTGCTCAACCTAAACCTCTATTCATTTTTCAGTCCCATCTCTCCTTCATTCCTGTCATCCAGTCACTAAATCATATTGCTACTATATCTAAGTCGTATGTCCCATCTTCTCTTCTGTATTTCCCCCTAGAACAGATCTGCTTTTCACCTGCGTGACTCACAGTGGCCTCCCAACCCATCCTGTGCTCCTTCCCTGCTTGCTCCCACCCCCATACTGGTCTCCATAGAGGCATCAGAGCTTTTTCCCAGGCATAGGTCCAAACATATCAGTCTCTTCTCGTCAACCCTAAAAGCCATAGAGAATAAATCTAAACTCAGCCTTGTTGCCAAGACCTGCTTTAATATTGTGCCAAAGTAGCTTTTATGCCTTATTTTCTACTACACTTCACTCCTTTATAGACCTGATGTTTCTTTGCTTTTCAGCCTCTTGGTCTTTACTCAAATTGTTTTCTGCATTTATGCACCTCTTATCTCACTCTGTGGGTCCCTGAAAACCATATCAGTTTCATAAGCCAGCACGCATGTCATCTTATCAACGGATACCCCAGTTCATTCTCCAGCCCTTCCCCACACCACTTCAGTGAGGCCTTTCTTGAACAACCGACTGAAGACTGTGCCTTCACCTCTCTCCTCCTTCATGTCCATTGCACTAGAATCGTCTAGCCTGGCACGCCAGACCGATATGTATTTGGCTTATTGCTGCTTTCCCCATCAAAACATGAACTTGATGGGAGCAGCATGGGAGGAAGTGTTCTCTATCCAAATGTGCCAGAAGCGTTCTCTATCCAATCATGTCTGATGGCACTGTTTTTGTACATCGATTCTTCTCATCACACTCTAATTGGATTAGAATCGTTTCTTCATCAACCTTTTAAATTTAACACATTCAACTCAAGGTGCACTGTGAATATAACATAGAATATTCCCTCTTTGTTAATCTTAGGGAGCCCACAATCTTCCTCTAAATTCCTCCCTGTCATAACTTTGTCCTCTTATTCCTAAACTCAACAGGGTAAGTTTAGAGGAAATAGCCTTGCAACAACACAAAAATTCTATGTGGCAGATGTTAAATAATGTCTGGTGAATTGACTTTAACAGTATGAAAACAATTTATTGTTGAAGAATATGTTTTTTGGGTATGTAGACAGTAATAGTTAAATGAATCTGGGCTATGGAGTCAGGCAGTCTTGAGTTGAATTTGTGAGCCATTACTTACTCACTGTGTAATGTAACAACTCTGGCTTCAGACTAAAAAGTCTATAAAACTCACTAAAAATACATATCTGGTGTGAAGATTATTAATGATGACAGCTAACCTTACACAATCCTTATTTTTTCCTGTTTTTTAAATGTACTTCATGCATTTAACTGCTTGATATGTTCATTAATTTAATATTTTAAAAAATCCTTTAAGGTAGGTGTTTTGTTATAATCTCCAGTTTAAAAATGGGGAAAGTAGGGATAGTGAGATTGTCTTAAAGCTAGTAAGTGACTGAGCTGATTCTTGTTCTCAGATCCATGCTATTAGCTACAATATTTACCTGCCTTTATGTTATTAAGTAAAGTACAGTGTCCTCAGTATCCTCAGCTTCCACATTCAGGGATTCAACCAACTTTGGATCATATATATTGGGAGGTAACAATAAAAAATGACAGTGCAATAATAAAAGTACAAATAAAAACAATACAGTATAACAACTATTTACATGTAATTTGCATTGTATTAGGTATTATAAGTAATCTAGAGATGCTTTAAAGTATACAGAAGGATGCATGTTATGTTATATGCAAACACTGTGTCATTTGATATCAGGAACTTGAGCATACTAGGATTTTGGCATTCTGAGTGGTCCTGGAACCAATCCTCCACAGAATATGAGGAAGGACTGTAATGCATATAAAGATATACTTCTTTAGCTCTTGCCTTGTGGAAGATATTTAATCAACAGGGGCAAGTATTATGATTGCTCTAACTCTAAAGTTTATTTAACCACAAGCAATTTTGAAACATGGAGATACTCATTCAGCAAGAGCTGGGCAAAATCTTTTTAACTTTTGGAAGCAAATGTAATATTATTCAGGGCAGAAGATCCACATGGCAAAGGAAGAAAATGAGAACAGATGTCAAAATATCCCCTTAGCTAATTTTTATTTTGCTTTTGTGGCAAACCAGGTCTCACAAAAGCTAAAAAAGCAGGCCTCCACAACAACAATTTCGGCACTGACTGAATGGTTAGGTTAAATATTAAAGGCTGAGAAAGCCAGTGCCCTTAGACAAAGACTGGAATGAAATAAAGGCCCACCAAGAGTCTTGCCTAGGCCTTTCTCGGCCTTGAAGCATGACAAGAAAATGAAGGAATTTGGCCAGGTGTGGTGGCTCATGCCTGTAATCCCAGCACTTTGGGAGGCTGAGGCAGGTGGATCACGAGGTCAGCAGATCCAGACCATCCTGGCTAACATGGTGAAACTCCATCTCTACTAAAAATACAAAAAAAAAAAAAAAAAATTAGCCGGGCATGGTAGCTGGTGCCTTTAGTCCCAGCTACTTGGGAGGCTGAGGCAGGAGAATGGCATGAACCCAGGAGGTGGAGCTTGCAGTGAGCTGAGATCGTGCCACTGCACTCCAGCCTGGGCGACAGCGAGACTCCGTCTCAAAAAAAATTAAAAAAAAAGGAAATGAAGGAATTCTCACATTCCTCCTACCAGGACCCATTTAGGATTAAACAGGTTTTATTGGGGTCTAAATGAACTCCCCAGACCTCCATACTTTAGCAGAAGAAAAAATAAGGATAATTGTTGCGGGAAGTCAGGGACCCCAAACGGAGGGACCGGCTGGAGCCATGGCAGAGGAACATAAATTGTGAAGATTTCATGGACATTTATCACTTCCCTAATAATACTCTTATAATTTCTTATGCCTGTCTTACTTTAATCTCTTAATCCTGTTATCTTTGTAAACTGAGGATGTACGTCACCTCAGGTCCACTGTGATGATTGCATTAACTGTACAAATTGATTGTAAAACGTGTGTTTGAACAATATGAAATCAGTGCACCTTGAAAAAGAACAGAATAACAGCGATTTTAGGGAACAAGGGAAGACAACCATACGGTCTGACTGCCTGCAGGGTCGGGCAAAAAGAGCCATATTTTTCTTCTTGCAGAAAGCCAATAAATGGATGTGCAAGTAGGAGAGATATCACTAAATTCTTTTCCTAGCAAGGAATATTAAGATCCTAGGAAAAGAAGTGCATTCCTGGGGGAGGTCTATAAATGGCCATTCTGGGAGTGTCTGTCTTATGCAGTTGAGTAAGGACTGAAATATGCCCTGGTCTCCTGCAGTACCCTCAGGCTTATTGGAGTGGGGAAAAAAATGTTCCCTGGTAAATTTGAGTTCAGACCGATTCTCTGTTCTGAAACCATGTTTTCTGTTGTTTAAGATGTTTATCAAGAAAATACATGCATAGCTGAACATAGACCCTTATCAGTTTTTGATTTTGCCCTTTGCCTTGTGATCTTTGCTTTGCCCTTTGCATTGTGATCTTTATTGGCCTCAGAAGCATGTGATCTTTGCTCTGCTTTTTGCCTCTTAAAGCATGTGACCTACTCCCTGTTTGTACACCCCCTCTCCTTTTGAAATCCTTAGTAAAAACTTGCTGATTTTGCGGCTCAGGTGGGCATCATCGTCCTACCGATATGTGATGTCATCTCTGGAGGCCCAGCTGTAAAATTCCTCTCTTTGTACTCTTTCTCTTTATTTCTTAGACCAGCTGACACTTAAGGAAAATAGAAAGAACCTATGTTGAAATATTGGGGGTGGGTTCCCCCGATAGGTAACCACCTCTGGCTCCAAGACCCATCTAGATTAAGTAAATTTGCTGAGGCTCTGGAGGAAGATCTCCAGGACTCAGACCTTAGCTACAGATTAGAAGGAATCAATCACTTGTGTCTTTAGATGAATGCCCACTTACACGTAGACATATAGCTTAGAAGGTGTATAAACAGTGGAAAATGTTGTAATTTTGAGTTGGTCTGTAGATATTTTCTCCAGCCTTCTGGGAACAGGGTGTTCCCAGTTACAGAAATAAACTGTATTTTATTTCTGTTCTCTTGTATTAATGCAAGAGAAACAGGAAGTGAATTAAGAAGGCAAATAATCAGCAAATAGAACTAAGGAAGATGAGCTTTATTTACTATAGCTGAGGCAATGGTTAATACTGAGGGGATAGTTAATTCAATAATAATTATTATTATAAGTAAAAATAATTATAAATAATAATACCTTATGTTTGTCCAGTTTTTTTCAGAGTATTTTCACAAATATTAATTTATTTTCTTAAAAATATTATTTTAGGCTGGGCGTGGTGGCTCACACCTGTAATCCCAGCACTTTGGGAGGCCGAGGTGGGTGGTTCATGAGGTCAGGAGATCAAGACCATCCTGGCTAACATGGTGAAACCCTGTCTCACTAAAAATACAAAAAATTAGCCAGGCATGGTGGCGGGCGCCTGTAGTCCCAGCTACTCAGTAGGCTGAGGCAAGAGAATGGCATGAACCCAGAAGGCTGAGCTTGCAGTGAGCCAAGATCGCGCCACTGCACTCCAGCCTGGGCAACGGAGTGACGCTCCATCTCAAAAAAAAAAATTATTTTATTTGGCCAGGTGCAGTGGCTCATGCCTGTAATCCCAGCACTTTGGGAGGCCAAGGCAAGCAGATCATGAGGTGAGGGGTTCAAGACCGGCCTGGCCAATATGGTGAAACCCTGTCTCTACTAAAAATACAAAAATTAGCTGGGCATGGTGGCACATGCCGGTAGTCCTAGCTACATGGGAGGCTGAAGCAGAAGAATTGCTTGAACCCAGGAGGCAGAGATTTCAGTGAGCAGAGATCACAGCACTGCACTCCAGCCTGGGCGACAGAGCAAGACTCTGTCTCAAAAAAAAAAAAAAAAACACTATATATGTATAGAATATATAATTTTTATCCTAAAAATGATGCCATATATTTTATAGAGTAGATATCAATCTGCCCATTTGAAAGATGAAGAAACCAAACCTTAGTGACACTAAGTACCTTGTTTTTGGTCACATAGGAAACGATTCAGTCTTGAGAACCCGAGAGCTCTTTTTACAAACCAGTGGGCTTTATGTGGTTCTCAGAGGTTGGAAGGCTTGCCAATGTCATGATTTGGGGTATGCTCCTTGCCATGCTGAACATACCTGTGGTGTTTCATTCACTCAGCAGATATTTGCTGTGCATTGCCTCTTCACTAAGGGATCCGTTTTCAGGGCTGGGATAATCGACAAGAATGCAAAAGGTAAAAATCCCTACTCTCCTTGTGCTTATATTGTACTGGAGAGAAATCAACAGTGAACAGGGTTGCCCAATACCTGATGCCTCAAGTTTGGTTTTAGAGTCTAGGCAACCTATGAAACATCAACTAATTCCTTTCTGTGCTGTTAGAAAGACAGGATAAAGCCAGTAAATAGTAATATCATACTCCATTTGGTGTATATCCATTTTCATCATTAATTTCTTTTCCCCACTACTTGACTCCGAAATGATAGTTAATTTACTATTAATTGACATTCATAGTGATGAGTGAGAAGCTGAATATGGAGCATTCAAGAGAAGAAAATGAAGGCATTGATAGAATGGCTGAAATAGCCTTAGACAACAATGTTAATTGTGAAGCGTGTCTTCCATTGGTCAGGGATTGAGTCAATAAAGTGTCTCCAACAGTTCTCCAGAAAAAAAAAAAATCCTTCATTTTTTCATTTCTAGCTAAAAATTACAAAGCTCTAAAGTAAGAAAAACTGCAAAAGATAATCTTGAATAAGTAATTGCTTTTCAGTATTTTGGCCAAGATTGCACAGATTGCAGGTTGCTGTACTGCTCAGCAGAAGCCGGCACTCTGCCTGCCTGCCATGGTATAGATCAGCAAGGGAAGTGGAACTCCATGAATAATACATGGGTGTTTTTGCCACCTATCCAGGCCTGTTTTAATGCATATACATCCAGTTCAATTGCCCAGACGTCTTAAACTGATATTTAGAGAGGTGTTAGCTTATTACTGCACAGTATGTAAATGAATTTATAGCTTGTCATGAGATATTTATATTCACTTCCATTTAATAAACTGCACTAGTCTCAGCTTATGCAACTGCACCTATGGCTTCTAAAAGGCTAAAAGGATAAGTTGACTGTGGTGCTTAGTGGCTGGTGCAGCTGCTCCTAAGCTTAGGAATTTTATCCCAGTGTCTAAATCCAGGGGCTCAGCAGCCTTCCCTGCTGGGTAATTGCAGAGAACAAAGAAGCAACTCAATCACTTGGGAGAAAAAAGAAAACACTTAGAAGGCTTTCAGAGTCAGACAGTGCTCTCTGATGACAGTTACATTATTAAAATAACAGGAGTTCTGGGAAAGATCAACCTGTGTTTGCAGAGTAATTTGGCTATGGTCTAAAAAATTTCACTGAGAACCAGTTTATTTTGTGAGTGTGCCCAGAAAACAGGAATTATAACAGAGATAAATGGTATGAGTTGACGTAGGTAAAACAGTACAGGCTGACACATGAACCAACCTGAGAACATTGGAGCCTGCAAGCAAAGCAAGGAGAGTGGCTCCTGTTGGCCTTTCGCTGGGATGCGGACTGAAGAGTATGTCTGGATGCTTCCTTCTGCGAGCGTCTTCTCTCATTTCCATGTAGCACAGAATCACATTGATTTAGCTCAGTTAAAAGAGTTAATTCTGCAGCAGAAAATTTCTCAAGTGTCCTTGTGGTGCTTCTTCCCCTCCCTCCTGAGACCATGCTCCCCAAACCTCCCTTCTGTCCCTAAGCCTGTCTTTTCATTGTCCCGGCTTTTTCTGTCACTTTACGTATTTCCAACACTGACTTGAAGTATGAGGAAGATTCTACCATCACAATAGCCTTAATTATGCTTCATATATTTTGCTTATTAAAGACAGGGAGATGGATAGTTTTCTTTCCTATTTGTTTCTGTCCTGTCCCCAGGCCTGTCTTTTTCTTCTTTTCTTTTCTTTTCTTTTTTTTTTTTTTTAATTTGAGACGGAGTGTCAATCTGTTGCCCAGGCTGGAGTGCAGTGGTGTGATCTCGGCTCACTGCAGCCTCCACCTCCCAGGTTCAAGTGATTCTCCTGTCTCAGCCTCTCAAGTAGCTGGGATTGCAGGCATGCACAACCATACCTGGCTACTTTTTGAATTTTTAGTAGAAATCGGGTTTTCCCATGTTGGCCAGGTTGCCCTCGAACTCCTAACTTCAAGTGATTCGTCTGCGTTGGCCTTCCAAAGTGCTGGGATTACAGGCGTGAGCTGCCATGCCTGGCCCCCCAAGCCTGTCTTTTCATCATCCCAGCTCAAGAACCATCTGTCACTTTACATATTTCCAACACTGACTTGAAGTATGAGGAAGATTCTACCATCACAATAGCCTTAATTATGCTTCATATATTTTGCTTATTAAAGGCAAGGAGATGGATAGTTTTCTTTCCTATTTGTTTTCTCAGCAGATTAACTCATCAGTTAATCAGAAGAGGGAATTAATCAACACATTTCATTCCTTAGGGCTAATCAAATCTTTGCTGTAATCTGAAAAACAAAAGTGGCTTTTTTGTTTTTAGAGTTTGGGTTTCAGTCACTGATTACTTCAGGCTGGCTGTACTTTATATCATTTCAGATATTCAAAGAACACAACTATGTGATTTGACACAATGTCCTAAAAGTTTAAAAAATGAGGATGGTTACAAAATGCAACAGGCATAGCCTCCCTAACGTCTGGTCTTCGCACAGCAGCCTAAGAGATCCCGTTAAAACCAAAGTCATATGCTGTAACTCTTCTGCATCAAACCTGCTGAGGGCTTCCCGTTTCACATGAAATGAAAACCAGAGTCCTTCCAGCGGCCTCCCTGACCTTGTCCCTCTCCCCGACAAGCCTGGCTCTTTTCCTGTTCCTAGTATACGCCAGGCACAGCTCACTTCCTGCAGCGTTTGCATTTGCTGTTTCCTCTGCCTGGATTTCTCTTCCCCAGATATGGGCGTAGTCTGTCCACTTGTTCCCAATCGGTTTCACTTCCTGTTTTATCCCTAGTGCCTAGGCAGTGCCCACAGCAGAATATATGCTCAGGAAATATTTATGAATTAATGATTTTTGACTAGTGGGATCCAAAAGAAAGAAAGGGGAAAAAAAGGAAGAAAAATCATTTGCTTGGTAGTTCAATTTGGCCAAAGATTACCTGATTTTTTTTTTTTTTTTTTTTTTTTTTTTTTTGAGACGGAGTCTCGCTCTGTCGCCCAGGCCGGACTGCGGACTGCAGGGGCGCGATCTCGGCTCACTGCAAGCTCCGCCTCCCGGGTTCACGCCATTCTCCTGCCTCAGCCTCCCGAGTAGCTGGGACTACAGGCGCCCGCCACCGCGCCCGGCTAATTTTTTGTATTTTTAGTAGAGACGGGGTTTCACCGTGTTAGCCAGGATGGTCTCGATCTCCTGACCTCATGATCCACCCGCCTCGGCCTCCCAAAGTGCTGGGATTACAGGCGTGAGCCACCGCGCCCGGCCTCCCTGATATTTTTTCAGTGAATCAACAGTTTCTGTTTAGCGTATTATCTCCACATTGGATTTATGAATTTCCAGATTGTAGCAATGTAAAAACAATCAATGTTACGTTCAACAATCATTTTCAAATCTTGAAGAATAGCTTTCAAGAGGACGGCAAAAGTGCTGTGACAATGGCTCACTGGTAGGGCTGGAGAGCTAGTGCTGCTTGTAAATTTTGGTTGGGAATGTCAGGAAGCCTCCAGGCCACGTTCACTGCAACCAGGCTGCCTTCAGGTTCTTTTCTAGGTTGCTCTAGGTCAATGATAAATAAGTCTGCTAGAGGAAGGGTTGCCTTGTCTTAAAACAGGCCTTGGAAATTAATCCCAAGGCCAATAAGACCCTAGCTTTTCACCCATGCAGGGAAATCTCTGGGGAACCCTCGGAGTGGCACAGTGGGAGAGAGAGCTGCATTCCACAGGCATCTAGCACACTCCTCTCAACAAAGCAGCAGTCTCTTTAGCATCCTCTGGAGCAATAATAATGATAATTGCTGAGACAAATCGATTAAAACAGAGCATGCATAAACAGATACTGCTCCTTCCTCTTTCAAGAGAACAATGAAATGTTAAAATGAATGTGCAGAAGAATTGAAATGAGAGTTTGGAGAGGTGGCAGTTAGAAACTTGGAATGAACTCATAACAGTGAAGAAATATGAACAGAAGCAGTCATTTGGAAACTGGAATTTTGATGTGTCTCACACTGAAAGAGTGAAATGAAAAATCTTCCAGTTCATGCTCTGTTTCTAATTAGTGTTAGGCCTTCTCAAGAGTACTAGTCAATTAATCCCAAATGGAAAGGAGCCATCCATGCTGGATTTCCTCTTTATGAGATTTTATCTCTCTGATACAGTCCTGTTCTGTTGCTTGTTTTCTTTCTACTTTGTAAAAATCAAATTCCCATCTAACTGCAATGGAAATGCCTACTCCTTTTGGTTTCTTTTTTTTTTTAACTCATCAGATTCTTTCTCTAGTTACTCTCCTGCATCATGCTAAGTTTTTAGTACATGTTAGGTTTTTTTTAAGTTCTTTGGTATAGCGTATATCTACCACTTTATGCCATTGCAGATAATTATATTTGCTTTTATGTCGTTTCTGCAAGTTTTAAGGGGAAGGCAGGCTTAGAGTTAAATATATTTGCATATTGCACAAGGGATGCTGTTGTAGGTAAAATAATCAATATGTCAATATGAGTGGAAAGGAGAGAGAAGGAGAATTAAAGGAGAGCAGAAAAGGTCACTCTAGGTAGGACTTGAGAAGAGCAATTCAGAGTAGGGCATTGGCAGTAACCAAGAAGTCTGGGCTTCACAGTCAGTGCTGGTGTAAGAGAGGGCAGCCTCATAGTGGCCTCTTGGTCTTATCCAAACCCTGAGTGGGCAGCTACTGTACCTCATTGCTAGGTCTCCCAGAGGTATATGCACTGTGGACATGCTCCAGATGCCAGCGGGGCACATAACAGTGGACAATACCATCTCTTCCCACAAGGAGAGGGAGACAGACTTCATACAAGTCTCTGAGCATTTGAAACATGAATAACTGTGGGGTGGCCTTGGCCTGCCCAACCGGGAGACTGGAGAACAAAGACAAGCAGGCATCAAGGAGGGGAGGGGAGCAGGCACTGATAGAAGGCACGGAAGGATACTGAAGAGAAATTTTCTGATCCTGTTTCACCTCTTTTTGACTCCATGCCTGAGAAATAATGCTTGAAGATAATAAAGTATTTTCCACTGTCAGTTCTGCTTTAAAAAAGCCATGGTCCTACCCTGTGAACAAATAATCATATGTGCTAGTAATGCCTACAGTGAGGTTCCTGTGTGCTAGGAAAGATGGATACTGAGAAACCATGAAGAAGCTTTAAGAAAAGTTCTTAAAATAACTTCTAAAGCTGTAATTCTCAATATTTCAAAAGCTTTTTTAATATTGTAATTATGGATTAGGAAAATAAAGCCCTGCAACTGGCTGAAAAGCTCAGTATTTTAGAGTCTTTTTAAAATGTAGTAAAGGATTAGAATGGAAAAACTGTGATTCATTGAAGATGTGTTCTTATTGGCCATAAGAAATAAAAGTTCCTCTATAATCTCCGCATCTTAACCCACACTTGTGTAACCAACTGCCCTTCCTTCTGATTTGTTCCCTCCCCCAAAGTGCTTCTAGCACTTTGGAGCCATCCTTGCAGTTTGGACCAATGATATGTTGAAGGAGTGGTTAATGGACTCACGCTCACCCTGACCATCAGCCAAGGACCACTTTAGGGTAGAAGGGAGATTATCAGGCAGCGATGCCTCCTTCTGCATCCCTTTTTACCTGACCATGCTTTGTGGTTGATTTGCTTTATCTTAGAACTTGTTGCATGACCTCTGAATAGAGGTCTCAATTGAAATAACTTCATCATTGCATTGATAATGCTGCATTTTGACACCATCTGATTACCTATCTCTTTCTAACTTAGCATCAGACTTGTTTAAATCCAAACCTCATTTTTCAGAACTGCATAAAACTTTGAAGGCAATAGCTGTTATTGTCTGCCAAAATGCATTTCTGGACATGTTGTGAGCACTTCCTTCACATGTTGTCATTGAATTTGATTTTGGCTTTCTTTCTTGAAATGTGAAGCTGTGGCACCCAGAAATCAGGGGCTGAGTTTGTCACTGAAACTAGTGACTAGGATCAAATGATTCATCAAAGCAGAATATTATCCTGTGTTTGTTATCAAATCTGTCCATATAATTTGTTTTCACTCTGGTATTTACAAAATATTGAAGCATAATTGAAAGGTTCAAATATGTACTAAAACCTTACTATTTTATATCAAACATTTATTCTGACATCCTGAAGACATGACGACAGCACGTTTCACTCCAGGACTCACAACCACTGCCCACTGTTCATATTTCACTCTTGCTCTCATCCACTTCGATTGGAATTAGGGGAATGACCATTTTCCAAGTCTCAAAATGCCAGGAATGCTAAGAAAAATCTTAGAGTATCTCAAAGAAATGGATCCTGCTGGTGGAAGATGCTGTTCATTTCTTTTCATTTCGCCATTGTGCTTGGGCATTCAGTTGTCAAGGATGTAAAGAAAGAAGGCTCAGAGTGGAGGAAAAGCTGGAAAACATTCATTTATTTCCTTTCTTTGATTTTGTGGATGGCACAAATCAACTATATTCTAGAAATGTCTTTCTAGTGTAGAATCAAAATTCATTCTTGACCTTTTAAATTGTGTGGGCAGGAGACAGAAAAGGTTGAAAGACATGGCCTATAATAGTCTATCTGGCAAGATGAGCATAATGCTTCCCTTTCATCAACCTTGGCGTCCTTGGCTAGGATGTCACAAACGTTTTCACTGTTTTTTAATTGATTTTTTGTAACAAAATGAACACTTTTAATCACAAGAATACATTTCTATAATAAATTTGGGGTATATCATAATGGGATAAAATCCAACTGCTTTAAAAATAAATCTAATTTAACATGGCTCAAGACTTCAGACCATTTATAGGTCACTCTCTCACTGTGACTGACTTATTCTCCAATGTAATTCTAAGATGTGAAATGCCACGAAGATGGTCGGTGTCTACTTTATGAAAGGAAATTCACATAAAGGGGTAATTATCACCATTCAAGAGAACCCACAGGGTTAATTATCCTGTAATTAACCTGTAATCACCTGTATTCACATACAGGGATGATTATCACCATTCAAGACATCCCACAGGGTTAATTACCCTGTAATTAACCTGTATTCACCTGTATTCACATACAGGCATCCCTGTATGTGCCCTGTATGTGAATTTTGTCCTGGACTACTTACATCACCTCTGGCTCTTGCCTCAGATTCTCTGGGGCTCAGCTAGGAAATAAAGGTGCTGTAATTGGAGAACTGGGATCTGCTGGTGGTATTCAGGGTCATGCTTCTGGTAGAAGGGCGTTACTGATCAGATGTCTCAAAATTTGGCTCTTATGTATTTTTTGAAAACCTTACTTATGAGGAGATGCATACTTATTTGTGCTAAGTTAATATCAAAAGAGTTTTTTGACCACTTTTAATACATACTGGAAATCCATGGATGGCAGCCACTCAGCTGGGGTTTGATATTACTCCTCACTTTTCTAAAAGAAAAATCTTATTCTTTGAGCACCTTTATTAACATAATTATTTCCAGTTCTGAGTGATCCAAGAATGTGGAACAAGTTATAAAAATATGGTCATTTCCATGAGTGCTAATTATTTTTTAAAATGTTGTAATGATACAATCCCTACAAAACACTTAAATATTTTTGGATAGCCTGGGGTCCTCAAGGAACTGGTTCTTGTGGCCACTGGGCAAGTGTCTGTGCACACACAGACATCATTTATGACAGGTGCTCTAGTTTTTGGTGATGTCACAATATTTGTTTTACATTTACTAGCTTAGTTTTCGAGTTGCAGTGTTATTATTTGTTTTTTGTATTTTTTCTGTTTCACAACCTCCCATAAAAGAGGAAATCAGACCCCCTTTCTTTCCCTCATTGAGGTAACTCTGCTTAAGGGACAGTGCTAAAAAGGGACAATATTGGTATTCTCCTTGGCTTCAAGACACGATCGGGGTATATTTCTACTATTTTATCTTTTATCACTCTTTTCTTCAAGGGCAAAATAAGACCAAGGCAGATTTTCTACCCATTGCCTGATGTTAAACAAACACGTCTTATTTCCCTTTAGAAGTTTCACCGTCACTCCCAAGCATGACTCTGAGGTTGTGGGTAGGCAACGCCCCCAAATGTACCCACATGCACGTGAGGACAAGCTAATCCCCCCTCTTCTGGGCTTTCTTGAACTCCAGCCAACAGCCCATATACCCTTTTGTTTATTTTGAATTTCCCTTCAAAGCACCTATTGTACTTTTCGGCCTAGATCTTTTTTCAGGTAAAGCACTTAAAGTTGAACTAGTAATATTGAGGACAAGTATATTCTTATTTCTGCATTAGTAATAAAAAATTGATCTGTGAACTTTTGGTATTGAATGCAGGACAATAAATTGTGTTTGGTATAGATACATCCTTACTTTCCATTATTCATTCTGCGATAGCCTTAACATTAAACGTATGAAAGAAGGGGAGTTTTAATCCCTTCCTATGCAGACCAGCTCAACCCCCTCCAGAGGGCTGCATGTCAAGCAAAGAATACCTTTGTTCCACCTGACAGATGGTAGTAGAGCACCGATTTAAAATAAAGTTCAACTTCAAACATTCCTTCAGGGCTAGGAAAGGCTACAGGGCTTATCTGTCCATATATATGGGAGAACTTTCCCACAGTGAAGAGATGCTCTTATATGACAACTCCTGTCTATACTTCTGGAAGATAGATGGATGGATGAGTGGGTAGATAGATAGATAATTTAATCTCACCTTGTAGCACCCCATTATATACCTTGTTGGCAACAATTTGGTTATCACTGTTTTTTAGCATTTTTTCAATTAGATTGTTCACTTGGAGGGACTTGCCCAGTGCTATAGTATTATTTTTAAATAAAATAATTGACTTATCTCAGTTTTTCCCATTAGAAATGATACTATCAAGATATAGATCCTTATGAAAAATATTTTACTTTCATTCTTACACATAGAAAATATATATTAGATCTCATTAATTCTAAAACACATTTTTTTCAGATTTTGTTTTCTCTGAAACCATGAAGTGCCTTAAATTTGATGAAACACTGTCTATTCCAAGTTAGTCACCATCTGAATATGTTTTCTAGAAAAATGGTTGAATAGTTGCTATAGATCTTGAATTTGGATTAGTTTTTTAAAAATTACATAGAAGTAAAAACTATTCAATAGTTTCAATTAAGTGTACAGGTATTGGAGGTAATTGGATTAGCATTCTCAGAAATCTTAGGGATTTTAGATGATTTCGTTTGAGGTCAGTAAATCTGGTTGAATGTAATATTCATATTTAGCATGAAACATATGCAAGATAGTTAATGCTACTGATGCTGAAATACATGATGATATAATGTCTAAAATTAGGGCTTCTAATCATACCTGCCATTTAAAGACCCTCTGGAACAGACTCCAAACTTGGGACTTTTCTCATTGGTCCTGAGATTATGGTGGGGTTGCCCTAGTTACATTTCTGATGGGGAAGGTATAGATCTCAAGACTTCTTTTTGTTCATTGTTCCCTCTTCAAATTGCAAGGGTTGGTTAAAATATGTACTCTTGATATGTAGATTTGTAGCACAGACCTCAATAAAAGGCTCGGTGCAGCGTGCTTCCGGTTCAGCAGGCATGGTGCCAGTGTCCCGCACGGTGGGGCAGCATAGCTATGCCTTGTGAGGAACAGTATAGCGATGCCTCCACGTGACCACTCCTCCTCCCTACCTGCCGCTCCTGTCAGACCAGAGATACTAGGCATAGGACTCTGCTCCCCGCATCTTTCCCCATTATTTGGCTCCTACACTTCCCTTGCTGGAATGCACCTTCCCCCTCTAAGTGTCCAGCTTTTTCCCACAGTTTAGGGCTCAGCTAAAATCTGCCTCCTCAATGAAGCCTTGCTAAAAATCTAGGCAAAAAGTACTTCCTCCTTCCTTTGAATTCTTTTAACATTTTAGCTCCCCCGTCGCTCTAGAACTTGTCCTCATTCATTCGGCAACATCATGGTTTATTTACTTCCTATGTCCTGTCTACTATACTCAAGTTTCTTGATAGTAAGAACTATATCTTATACGTAGGTTTTTGTCTCCCACAAGAACATATATTTGAGAGCATTTTAAGTGGATGCTGACATGTTTTGTGAATTCCAATCACTATTAGGTAAAAGGAAAATAGTTTTTGTTTTCGAAGTTGCTAAACTCCAGTTCAATGTAATGTCCACACTCACATCCTGATTCCATTGGCACACGAGGCCCAACTCACCCTGGGAAGCCTGCAGTAGGAAGAGGTCAGTGTTGATATTTTTTCTCTTTCTGGCCTCACTTCCTCTCCTACTCATTGCTGCTTTGGAATCTGTCCAAGATTCTAGTTGAAGGTTGGGAAGAGAGGTAAGGAAGAGGAACTATCTTACTTATCTGGGTCTTGTGGATTCTAAAAGTTGATTCTTTCTTTCCTAGGGGATCTTCTGAATTTTTTTTGAAGACCAACCATATCACTGGGGTTCTCCTTCTTGGGTGTGTCCTTCTTTCTCTAATTGGCTGCCTTTGATGTCTTTGTCAGACTTATTTCTTGTGGTTTATTCTTTCTTGAATTCAACTCATCCTCCAAGCAGTCTACTTGGCTGGAGTCTCTCTCAAGAGGACTCAGACTCTGCGGTGGAGTTGGCCTCTGGCCCACAGAACTTTTGCAAGCTTTGCTGCTTAACACTGCCATTACAGTTTCCACCTCCCCTCACTCTGCCATCCCCAGGCAGCCAGCCAACACCTACCTTTACAGTTCTCTGGTATGATCAGGACACAAGTAATTGTGTCCTTTGTGTTCTAGGAAGCAAGTGCCAAGCTGTGGTTCTCTGGATGCCACCTTCACTTGGATATACCTATCCCTCTGCCTATGAGACAGAAAAACACAGGGCACAGGAATATTGATTTTCAATGGAATCCCAATTGCTGTTCTTTTCAGGCTCCACAGTGAATGATTTACTATCTCTTACAGTCTGGAGGTGGGTGATGGGCTAGTACCATAAGGACCTATTGTATAATCTCTTAGCAAGGGACTCATCGGTGGTCTAGTGGCCTCTCTTATCATGTGATCAGACTTGACAGGTAATGTAATGATTTTGGGGCCTTAGTAAAATCTCACACTTTGGGTCCTTAGCCAAAACTGGGACAGCAGGAAAAATAACTTTAAATGTCTTCTTAGAACTACATCTCTCCCACACCTGGCTGAAAGGGCATGATTTTGTTTAACACAGTTCCCTCCGACCCCCGTATATCCTCTGTACTTCATTGTGTGAACTACTGATCTTATGAGAAGACCCGAAGTCTGATAATAAAAATTGTATTCCTATATTTACAAATGATTTATTTAAGAATAATGGAATATATCACCAAATTTAGCCTGCTCTTAACATACAGTATTATTCACCATGGTTCTGCCATCATGATAAAAATTCTGCCTCACCTACCTCTATCTTTCGATGGGTAAACTATGCACAGAGAAGATTTGATGGAAACTATTTCAGCAACTGAAAAATGGGAGAAAGAAAAAACTACTCCAGAAATCACAGACACTGTTATTTCTATTTCAGGCATACTTTGCAAAAAAAAAATCATAAAGTCAGCGTTTTGGGTAAGAAAAGAAGAATTTAGTGAAGTTTTAGACAAAATATCCAATAGGTCTAGGGATCAAGGGTTAGCATTTCCCAATGAGCTTCATTTGTTTAGCATTTTTTTAAAATTATGAATTCACTAGTGATGTAGACCAGTGTTTTCCAAGGCATGCTCTCTAGCCTGCATATGGGAATGGGTTCTTTGCCCAGTGTGTGTGTGTGTTAGGGGAAGTAGGGAGTTGGTATAAACTAGGTTGAGGGAGGAAGCTAAGGTATAACTAACGATGCACCTTGGTTATATCTGTGACACACAGAGGTAGGCACTATTTTGTCCTAGATACATCGATAACTACTGATTTACCCAGCATCCCCTTCTAAAACTTCTCTGCCCAATCTCTATTCACGTGACTACTGTGGGAACCACCATAGAAGTATGGTAACCTCACCTCCTGGTTATTTGTTATTTGTCCAGGGGTGGGCATTGAACCCAATGCGGGTTAAAAACCCCCCTCTTTAGACATTTTAAGACAGAAAAATGAGGATAAGTCTTTTCTGGATGCTTCCATCTTCTGATACAAAGGTCAGAAAAAGGTGGTGGTGTGGCACACCCAGAAGCAGAGGGAGCTACCTGTCCTGAGGAGGAATCAGCTGCATCTGAACGGAAGGAGAGAGAGAGAAAATACTGATGCCAGCTGAGCCTGGGAGCCAGCCCCACCAATTGCCCTCGGTCTCTGACCTCCCAATATCTTCATCATAAGCTTTTCTTTGTAGAGTTTGAGGTGAGTTGGTATTATTTGAAAACCAGAGTCCTAACTGATGCATTTACTTTAACAAACGAAATAATATAATCTTCTCAACCTCACAGATGCTCTTCAAGCTGGTAAGTCAGGGCAGCTGTGGGTCTGTGAACTCCCATGGGAAGGTGGAGGGATCAGCACACCCACTTGTGACTTGCAGCTTGTATTCTTTCCCGTTTAGCCTGCCATTTACATTGCATGTCGCACTGAAACAAAAAAGGAGAATTCCTAAATGTTCTCACATGCAAGAGATTCATAATTTGAAATTTCCAGAAGCAGATAGAGAGCAGGTACAGGAGGCAGCTTCCTGCATGGAAATGACAGGAGAGGGAGAGAGTTAATATGTGACAGAAGTGAATGCTCTGAGAGCTTAACAAAAAGTCAGAGTCCAAGAAACACTGAAGGTTTATGATTCTTGGCTAAAGGGTTTCTTGGACTTGATAAGTAACAATTTTGCAAAATGAGCATATTTGCCAAAAAAGGAGCATTTAAAAACCCTCAATTAAGAACTCAAATTAAAGGCAATTTTCTTGGCAAGGAAGGTGGGTAGAGATGTGGGAATGAAGAGACGTCTCAACAATGTGAAAAGAGATAGGGTGCCATCCTCAGATCTCAGCTCAAAAGCAACAACTACCTTTGAGTGGTGCCACCGCTCATTCTGCTGTTTAAGTCCATCTGTGTATTACACACTTCATAGCGTGGTGTTCCATGGTACGTGAATGTGTGTCCAAAAGTGAAGACTTTGCTGATAACCACAAAGGTTCCCAGGAAACAGAGAGAGAGAGAAAAGAGAGAATGTGTGTGTGTGTGCATGTGTGTGCAGTGGGGTGTTCACACTGGTGGTAGTGAAAATGTGTTGAGTTCACTGAAGCTCTCTGGTTTAACTGGATGATGGATAAATTGTTCCAGCGATCACTTCTGAGAGTTTTCTGGTTAAAGGCAGAATATCCCAGGTTTACAGAATGCCTCTCCCCAAGTGATTCTCTTTGTGCAAAATCCACTCCATCATTCACTCAATCACTCAATCATCATTCATGGATTTAATTTGTTGAACACCGAGTATGTGCTGTGTTCTGGAGATAAAGACAATGTAGAGAAGAAAACAGGCAAGAGAACACAATGCCCCCAGCCCGCCAATCAAGGGCTCTTGCAGACCCCTGCACAGGGTTCTATGGAAGTGAGCCTGGAGTTTGTTCCTGCCAGTGGGTTCGTGGTCTTGCTGACTTCAAGAATGAAGCCGCAGACCTTCACAGTGAGTATTACAGCTCTTAAAGGTGGCATGGACCCAAAGAGTGAGCAGCAGCAAGATTTACTGTGAAGAGCGAAAGAACAAAGCTTCCACAGCGTGGACCAAGCAGGTTGCTGCTGCTGGCTGGGGTGGCCAGGTTTTATTCCCTTATTTGTCCCCTCCCATGTTCTGTTTCTGTCCTATTAGAATGCCCGTTTTCAATCTTCTTTGTGATTGGCTACTTTTAGGATCCTGCTGATTGGTGTGTTTTACAATCCTCTTGCTAGCTACAGGGCACTGATTGGTACGTTTTTACAGAGGGCTGATTAGTGCATTTTACTATCCCCTTGTTAGCTACAGAGCGCTGATTGGTGGGTTTTACAATCCTCTTGTAAGACAGAAAAGTTATCCAAGTCCCCACTCGACCCAGGAAGTCCAGCTGGCTTCACCTCTCACAAGGCCTCAGGCCTTCAGGGGAACCGGCAAAGCTGGATGGAGATTGCAGGATGTGACTAGGAGCTCTGAGGATGACTGAAAGGCACCCAGGAGCTGGGTGAGGAGAGAGTACACAGGCCAAGGCAGCAGCTCCCCCATGCCTCAGGGTGAGGGCAGCTCGGCTCATAGCAGCAGGGGCACAACCGCAGTGTGGGGAGCGTGAGGAGAGGGAGTGTGTGTGGCCTGTGAGAGTGTGTGTGACATGGGTCTGGTGTGAGGAGTGTGTGTAGTGTGTGGTGTGTGTGGTGTGAGGTGTGTGTGGGGTGTGGTGTTGGTATGGTATGAAGAGTGCATGTGAGATAGTATGTGTGTAGTGTGTGGTGTGTGTGATGTGTGTGTGGTGTGAGGTGTGTGTGAGTGTGTGGGGTGTGGTGCTGGTATGGTGTGAAGAGTCTGTGCAATAGTGTGTGGGGTGTGTGATATGTGTGAGGTATGAGGTGTGTGAGTGTGTGGGTTGTGGTGTGGGTATGGTGCAAGGAATGTGTGTGTGATTGTGTGTGTAGTGTGTGGTGTGTGTGATGTGTGTGTGGTGTGTGTATGATGTGTGTGTGGTATATGAGTGTGTGAAAGTGTGTGGTGTGAGGTGTGAGTGTGGTGTGAGATGTGTGAGGTGTAAGGTGTGTGTAACCATATATGAGGTGTGAAGTGTGTGAGCATGTGTGTGGTGTGAGATGTGTGAGGTGTGTATATGTGTAGTGTGAGGTGAGTGGTGTGAAGTGTGAAGTGTGTGTGAGCATGTGTGTGGTGTGAAGTGTGTGTGATCATGTGTGTGGTGTGAGGTGTATGTTGTCAGGTGTGAGGTGTGTGTGTGTGTCATGTAAGAGGTGTGTGAGAGAGCATGATGTCCAGGTAGTGGGTTACCTGGTCTTCAGCAGCAATGGCAGAGGGTAGCAGTGGGAGCTTCCAGAGAGCCACAGGCCTGGTTATGACTGGCTGGGATGGTGGGTCCCCCCCAAGTAGCTCCACAATAACAGTGGGCTTTTTGGTGGCCATGAGCTCATGAATCCTCTCTATGCTGTAAGAACACAAGAAAATATGTGGTTTGCATTTCACAGATTACTGTTAACATTTTACAGATGAGAGCTTGGAACAGCACGAAGACGTACTGACATAATTTACCATAATTTTGCAGCATTTCTGTGCTGTAGAGTGGAACACAGACTCGCCTTTGATCCCTTCAAGTAATCTCATTGCTCATCAGTGTCGCTGCCAAGCTCCTGGAGGAAAGAGACGATGCTATAAACGGAAGACACAGTGCTTCTCATTGCGCACTTGATGAGCGGCTTGATGGTCATCGATGTGTGTCCCCAGGGGAATTTGATTCCTAATGACAGGTGTGTCTCAGTACCTTAGAGGGCTTTTTGAAACAAAGTTAGTTGTTACCTAGTACCTTATGATTGTGGGACTGAGCAAAATGCTTACGTTATTAATTCTTGACTCGTATTACCTAAAGGTTTGATGGCATTTCAATACTCTCCAAATGTAATTTTGTAGCCAATGCTTAGGAATGAGCGGCTGTACTCTAGGGATTCCAGTCTCTTTCCCTTTCTTATTTTCCCCTCCAACGGCTCACCCTTTGTCCGAGTCATCGCATTACATCATTCTCAGAAGAGGTCGTGGCAAGAGCAGGGAGATGAAACAAAACTCATGATGGCCATTTTGTTCTCTTCTTCAGTAGCTCTCAGAAATGATTTGACAGGACATGTACCCACTGGCTAAAATGCACTTCAGGGTTCACCTTTGCACATGTAACTCCTTCATAGTTGTCGTCTCTTCCATCCCCTACTCTCCCATGCCTGCCCACCACACACACATAGACACAACCCTGCACTCAATCCTTAGCAATATACAACTGAGGGTAGGTTGTGGTTATCTGGAATTCCTAATTAAGAAGCTTAAAAAAAATTAAGAGAAACATACCATGTAACAGATCATACGAACCCTCTAGACTCAGAGTATGTTCTGGATCAACCACTAATGAAAAGAAGTTTAACTTTGGGCATATAACTCACTGTCTCTGAGCCTCACTTTTCTCCTGCAAAGCTGGGAATGTTGGCTTAAATGCTGCTCAATTCCCTTCCAATTCTGTGGAGTTCACATGAGCAAAATGAACTTTGCACCCCAGGGCATGAGGAATATTCATCTGATGCTTTAAGTTAGAGTGTTCTTTCTTTGCTGTCCAACAGCTGGAGATAATTAATTGCAAATAAAAAAAAATGGTCTGCAGCCCAGCTTTCAAGATGAGACACTCTGTCGATGGTATTTCCATGAACTTTGCAAGATGTATTAGTTGTGGAATACAGGCCGTTGGAATTTCCAGAGCCAACTTCAAGGATGGGATTGAAGCAGTACTTACAGAGGCCAGAACCTACCAAGGAAGAAGTGATGTGTGATTATCATAAGAGACCTGGAATCTCCGGTTTTAATTGTTGTAGTAAAACCAGTAGAGGTATGACCCACGAATTAAGCTAAATATTAAGTTTTTGATTTGAACTTTTACCACAAATGGAAAAAAATGCTTTCATTTTCAATCAGTTGTATGAAGTTATTTGGACATAGTCAGATCTTTCCCCCATCTTTCCAGTAGTAAATTTAATCTTCAGTTCCACATATAGGGAATTGGTCTATTCAATAAATTAGGCAAATGACAACAGGAAAGTTGAAGGACAAATAAATAAAAGCTCATTCTTCAGAAGGGTGACTAGAAGTACTCCTTTATAATTATTATCTGCCATTATTTTATTTTACATTAGCGTCAGGGATATTATTCCAAACTGCTATTTTTCCCTCAGTTGATCTGGGAATAAAGTATTGCCCAGGACTTCTAGGCTGTGTTTATACAAATATTTAGGAAAAGCCTTAAGTAGCCCTTAAGTATGTAGATATAAATTTCTCGCTATACAACTGTGTTCTACTAAATATTTTTATAATTATCACATAATGATGGGGAAAATACTAGTGTCTGTAGGGGGAAGGGGTGTCTGTGTGTGTGTGTGTGTGTGTGTGTGTGTGTGTGTGCATGTGTTTCTCCTATACTTTGAATGTCTGTGTCCCTCAGAAATTTATGGCAAAACTTAATCCCAAATGCAATAGTGTTAAGAGGTGGGGTCTTTTGGGAAATGATTAAGCCATGATGGCCGCACCCTGGTGAATGGGATTAATGCCCTCATAAAAGAGGCTCCAGACAGTTGCCTGGTCCTTCCATTTCTTCTGCAATTGTGAGGACACAATGTTAGTTCCTTTTGCCTTTCCGCCCCGTGAGGACCCAGCAAGAAATTGCCATCAACGTGGAACAGGCCCTCACCAGACACCAAGTCTGCTGGTGCCTTGATCTTAAGCTTTCCAGCCTCCAAAATCATAAAAAACAGATTTTTGTTATTTATAAGCTATCCAGCCTAAGGTATTTTGTTATAGCAGCAGAAATGGACTCGGACAGTTTTCATATCTTTTTCTTGAGGGAGATTGGGAGGAAAAGGGAAGAAGTTGTTAATTATTTAGTTAATTAAAATTGGCTTTCTGCAGCCTTAGTAAAGATTTGGAATTTTTTTTTGTTGGTCCATTGTCTAGCATGTTCCTACCATAAAAATGAAGTTCTTCCTAATTTCAGAAATGACTTTTTATTCAAGTATTCATTTCAATTATGTGTCAAGAATTCAAAAAAAGATAATTTTAATATTCTTTACTCAAGCACATTTTAGTGACTTTAATATCCAGAAGTTTGCAATAATCACATCAGTTCTTTGGTTTTGATAATGAAGCAAAAAGCAAGAGAAAGAACTGCATTGATCAAATGATAACTTGGCTTGGCATCCTTTCCTTGGTAGAAGAGAAGTGGCAAGACCAATTTCCTGCTAAGTTGGGGGTGTTTATCAAATCCTTAAGTTGGCTTCTGAAAGTTCCATTTCTTGAGTGATACTACCTTTTTGCTCATACAGAGCTTTTGCTCATTGAAGGCTACAAACAAATGTATTTGAGATATTCCCCTTTGGTTCAGTGAACAACTTCATCACTGCTGTCTCTGCTTGTCCATTGATGCTAAAGCGTTCCCAGCCTCCTCTCCTCCCAGAGCCAGGTCAAGTGCATGAGTTTCCTTACAGGTCTCTACCTTCAGGTTCTCTCTAATTTACTTTCATGAAACAGCAAACTAATTCTTCTAACACACTATTTATTATGATCAAGTTCCCATCTGAAATAACCCAGTCACTAATTTTATCTCAAACCTTGATTTCTACCCCAAGCGCCAGACTCACAAATCCCATTGCCCGCTTAGCATTTCCACGTGGATGTCTCATCATCATCTCATATTTAACATAGTCAAATTGAACTCCTGATCCCTTCAAACACCTCTCAAATCATGCCCCATTTCACTAAATGGCTCTCTTTGGCACCCTGCTACTCAAGCTCCAAACCTTGAAGTCCATCCCCGCCACACAAACCACATCCCATTTCACGCGATTCTCTTGCATCTAACTTTGAGGGGCATCCAAACATAACCCCTTCTCAGGACTTGCTCTGCTCCCTCTCCAGTGCAGGCCTCAGCAGCTCTCAGGAGGCTCCTGAAATTGCCTCTCAACTGATCGCTCTGTTTCTCCTCTTAATCTCCTGAATATCAGTGTCCACACTTTACCCAGAAGATTCTTTCAGAACATAACTCAGACTCCGTCACCCCTCTGCTCACAGCCCTTGGTGGAAGGGCTGAGAGGAAACTCTAGCCTTCACCATGGCCCTTTGGGGTCTCCTTGATAGGATGCCTGCCTCATCCCTGACTTCCTTCCCAACAGCTCCCTCACCCACGTTGCTCCAGCCTCACCAACCTCTGTGCTTGCCGGACTTGGGGGGCCCACAGTTTTTTGTTTTTTGTTTTTTGTTTTGGCGGAGGACGGAGTTTTGCTCTTGTTGTCCAGGATGGAGTGCAGTGGAGCGATCTTGGCTCACTGCAACCTCTGCCTCCCGAGTTAAAGCGACTCTCCTGCCTCAGCCTCCAGAGTAGCTGGGATTACAGGTGCGTGCCACCACGCCTAGCTAATTTTTGTATTTTTGGTAGAGACGGAGTTTCACCATGTTGGTCAGGCTGGTCTTCAACTCCTGGCCTCAGGTGATCCACCTGCCTTGGCCTCCCAAAGTGCTGGGATTAAAAGCGTGAGCCACCACACCCGGCCAGGCCTACAGTTTTCTGAAAGCTTGTGCTGTTTGTTCCCTCAGATAAAAAATCTCAAGTCCCCCTCCCACTGGCTTCACTTAGGCCCCTTCTCATGTGTCCCCTTGTCAGATTGACACACCCAGAGCAGAGATCACTCCCCTGGGAGCACTCCACACTGGTGACCATACCACCTCCCGATTTCCCTCTGTGCTCCTTACTCTGCTGGGATTTTCATAGCACCTTTCCTCACCTGTGGCGTGTTAGACAATGAGCCCTCAAGAAAGGGACTTTACTTTATTCACTGCTCTATTTCTAGCATCTGGATTACAGTCTGGCACACAGTAGGTACTCTGTAAATATTTACTGAATGAATGATTAATAAGGCCATCCCAGTGCCACTAACACTGTCAGCTGCTCATTCATTCTGGGCTGGATGGAACAGGCTGGTGATCTTTTTCTTTGTTCCCTATCTCCTATCTCAATTCATATAGTATATGTTATAATAAGAGTAATTTATACCCTCATTACTCTCCCCAGTTATCTTCCTGTCCAGACTACTCATAAAAACAATGCCTTTCCTTCTGAACAATATGCTTCTTACCCATTTACCTAATCAAGGCAACACCGGGTTCTATAATTTCTGGTTTTTAAAAAATTCACATAAAATGTACTCTTTGTTGGTGTACAATTCTGAGTTTTAACATACATATACATTCTTATAACCAATACCGCCATCAAGATACAGAATATTTTTATCATCCCAAAAAACTCTTTCACTGTGGGAGTCCCTACAAAATCAAACCCTTCCCCACCCCAAGGCCCTGGCTATCCCCAATTTCCTTCACTATAGTTTTGTGTGATCCAGAATGTCACATAAATGGAATCATACAGGATATAACCTTTTAAGATGGTTTTTTCTCCACTCAGCATAACATTTTTGAGATCCATGCCTATTCTTTTGTGCATTAGTCCCTTGATCTCATTTATTGCTTCATTATGTTCCATTGTATAGATATGCCAGAGTTTACCCATTGCTTATTGAAGGACACCTGAGTTGTTTCCAGTTTTCAACAATTATGAATAAAGCTGCTATTTACATTTGTGTACAGATTTTTGTGAGAAAGTAAGTTTTAATTTCTCTATGGTAAATGCTTGTAAGTGGGATTGCTAGGTCTTGTGTTCAACTTACAGAGTGTCTTATGAAGACACTGCCAGACTTTCCCAGAGGAGCTCTACCATGTTGCATTTCCATCAGCAGTGTATGAGAGTTCAATTTCTTCATAATCTCAATGGCATTTGGTGATATGATTTTTAAAAATCGTTATTCTAATAAGTGGACAATGATGTCTTATAGCGATTTTAGTTTCTGTTTCCCTAGAGGCTAATAATATGGAATATTATTTTATGTGCTTATTTGCCATCTGTATACCACCTTTGGCATCTATTCAAATCTTTTGCCCATTTTTATTGGGTTATTTATTTTTCTCTTATTTATTTTCAGAATTTTTTCATCTATTCTGGATATAAGTCCCCTGTCAGATATATTATTTGCAAGTATTTTCACCCTGTCTGTAGAATCTCTTTGTTCTCTTAATGTCTTTTGAAGAAAAAGCATTTTCTCATTGTAGTAAGTCCAATTTATCTTTTTTAATTTTTTTTTACTTTTATGGATAATGCTTGTGGTGTTAAATCTAAGAACTCAAGGTCACATAAAGTTTCCTTGGTTTTATTCTAAAAGTTGTATAGTTTTATGTTTTACATTTACATCTATAAGCCACCTTTAGTTAACCTGAATCATGTTTTTGCGTACGGTTGTACAATTGTTCAAAACACTAGTTGATAAGACTAATCTTACTCAATCGAATTGCCTTCTTATTTTTGTCGAAAACCAGTCAGGGAATATTTGAATGGGCCTATTACTAAATTTTGTATTTTGTTCCATTGACATATAGAAAGTAAGACTATGTGTTCTCAAATACCACACTATCTTGATTAGTATGGCTTTGTCTTAAATGGGTAGTGTGAATTCTCCAACCTTATTGTTCTTTTCCAAAATTGTGTGCTTATTCTCATTCCTTTTTCTTTACATGTAAATTTAGAATCTGCTTATATTTGCAAAAAATCCTCTTGGGATTTTGATTCTGATAATAATCAATAGAAAAAATTGGAGAGAATTGACATCTTAAATCTGATCTTTCAATTTGCTGATTTATTTAGGTTGTTGATTTTTCATCAGCTTTGCATAATTTTTGCTTTACAGATCCTGAACATGTTTTGTTAGATAAATATTCAAATATTTTTGAGAACTATTGTATACGGTATTATTTTTCAAATATTGGTTTCTAATTGTTCTTAATTATTATATAAAAATACAATTGATTTCTGAGAGATGGTCTTGTATCCCGTGGCCTTGTTAAACTTATTTATTAGTTCCAGAAGATATTTTTTGTAGATTCTTCGGTATTTTCCGGTAGAAAATATGTATTCTCTGAATACCAAAAGTTTTTTGTTTTTCCTTTACAATATTGCTTTTTCTTGCCTTATTGCACTAAGATTTTAAATATAATGTTTATAGGAGTGGTGAGATTAAACATACCGGCCTTCTTAGTCCTGGGCTGGGTGGTGGGGAAGAAATAGTCAGTATTTTACCACTAACTATAAAGTTAGATGTGGGCTTTCGAAATGTCTTTTTAAAAACCAGGTTAAGGAAGTTTTTTTCATTACTACTTTGCCAAGAATGTTTACTATGAATGGATATTGATTATTTTTAAATGCCTGTTCTACCTCATTTGATGTAATATGGTTTGCTCTTCTTTAGACTATGAATTTGATGGGTTACTCTTGATTGATTTTGACTATTGAATAACCTTGCATTCTAAGAAAAATTATACTTCTTTATGGTGTATTTTTTGTTATGTATTGGTGAATTTGATTGGCTAATACTTTTTGTGTAGTTATCAATGTCCATGAAGTGGTATTGGTCTGTAGTTTTCTTTACTTGAAATGTCCTGTGTGGTTTTTGTATGAGAATAATTCCATACTAATGAAATATATAAAATACAAAGAGTTCTGATTTTCAAGATATATGAATACTCGTTATTAAAAAGGGATATGTGTAAAGACACGTCTCACAGTATTTTTGTTCAGAATTTCAATAGTTATCTTAAAATTATATGAACTCTAACATAATAATAACTGGAAAATCTCCAAATACTTGGAACTCAAACAACAACCTTTTCAAAAAAGAAAAAAATCTTATGAGTCAAGAGGAGGTCTCAAGGGAAATTAGAAAACATTTAAAATGAGTAAAATGTTCCCTTCTCTTTTATTTATTAAACAGATTAGTGTAGAATTGGTGTTATTACTTCTTTAAATGTTTTATAGCATTCCCGAAATTATCTCTACATAGAATGTTCTTTTTGATAAGATTTTTAACTACAAATTTAATTTCTTTAATAGATATAAGACTATTCAAGTTATCTATTTCATCTTGGGTGAATTTTACTTTGCTACATTTTTACTTTTCCTACTTTTAAGGAAATGGCTCATTTTTTTCCTAAATTGTTAAATTTTTATGTAGCGAGTTGCTGGTATAATATAATAATTAAGAACAATTAGAAACTGACATTTGAAAAATATCATGTACAATAGTTCTCAAAAATATTTGAATATCTAACAAAACAAATTCAGGATCTGTAAGCTAAAAACTATGCAAAGCGGATGAGAGAAATAAAAAACCTAAACATATCAGTGAATTGGAAGACTAAATTTAAGATGTCAATTCTCCTTACTTTATTCTGTTGATTTTCCCTTATTATTCTTATAATGTATATGAGTTTATAGTGATATTCCTTCTTTCATTCCTTATATTAGTAATTTGTACCATTTCTCCTTTATATTTGTATGTCTGGCTAGAGGTTTATTATAGTGTTATTAATCTTTTAAGAATTGTTGGTTTACTCTTTTTTTGTTTTCAATTTCATTTATTTCTGCCATTATTTGTAATATTCTTTTTTCCTGTGTGTTTTGGGTCTATTTTCTTCTTTTTTCTGCTTTCCTGATGCAGAAGCTTAAAGTGCTGATTTGAAATCTTTATTCTTTTCTAATAAAAGTACTGAGTGCTATAAATTTTCCTCTAAGTTTTGCTTTAGCTATATCACACAAGTTTTGATAGGTTATATTTTCATTTTATTCAATTCAAATATTTAAAAATTTCCCTTAAGACTTGCTTTTTGACCCATGAAGTTTTTTAGAAGGGTATTGTTAATTTCCAAATATATGAAGATTTTCAGTTATTATTTTGTTAGAGTTCATATAATTTTAACATAACCACTGAAATTCTGAACAAAGACACTGCAGGAAGAATGTGTTAATTTGTTCAGAATTTCAGTGGTTTTGTTACATCCCTTTTTAATGTCTGCTATTCAGTTACTTAAATAATTTGAATCTTTAATCATTTCCCACATCATTTCTGACTCAGCCATCCTTGGCCATTTTATTCTCTTCTGGATAAAGTTATTGGATATTACCGGTCATTTGATTCCTTTCAAATTGTTCTATAGTCACGTGTTGCTTAACTACCAGGATACATTCAGAGAAGTGCATCATTAGTTGGTTTTGTCATTGTGTGAACATCACAGACCACACTTACACTTACCTAGATGGCACAGCCTACTACACACCTAGGTTGTATGATATAGCCCATTGCTCCTAGGCTACAAACCTGGACAGCAGGTTACTGTGCTGAATATTGTAGGCGATTGGAACATAATGTAAGTATTTGTGTATCTAAACATAGAAAAGATACAGTAAATGTGGCATTATATTATGGGACCACTGTCATATAAGCAGTCTGGCACTGACCAACACGTCCTTTTGCGATGCACAACTGTACATCCACCACTTCCAAATTATTTAATATTCTTTCCTATAAAAGCTTCTCTGTGTAAAATTCTCTATTCTCAGTTCTCTAAACACAATAGGCTAGAAGTCTGAAAATACTTGCCTTTTTCCCGTGACTGTGCCTTAGCTGTTACATCTGCAGACGATTTGGTGCCCTTATCCTTTTTCTCCCTTGCCTATGTCCTGCCATCCTTTCAGAGACTAATTAAATTTTATCTTCCCTTCCCAAGTCCCTTTGACATTCATGACTACTCCTCAAAAAACATTTTCATATATTAATGTAAAATGAAATTTCCAAGCCAGGTCATATAATCCTTAGATGCCTGAGGATAACAATCAAATACTGTGCCTCTCAGTACTCTGAGAGTAGAGTTCACTGCACATAGTAGCTTCTCAGTGAAAAGTTTTGCTCCTTTTGCTCCTTTCTACTGGTGATTTGGTGGTGAGTGCTCACTAGAAAATAAAACCTATTGTGTTTAGAGAACTGAGAATAGAGAGGGGCATTTTACACAGAGTAGAAGCTTTTAGAGGAAAGAATATGACATAATTTGGAAGTGGTGGATGTACAGTTGTGTGTCACAAAAGGGCGTGTTTGTCAATGCCAGACTGCTTATATGACAGTGGTCCCAGAATATAATGCCACATTTTACTATACCTTTTCTATGTTTAGATACACAAATACCATAAAACCTAGATAATTCTTTAACCACCGTCTTTACCCAAAACACAGAATAGCATTTCTCCAAATGTGTGTAGGGGTATATAAGAGGCTAATTCCAATGGAAAAAAAAAAGTTCTATTTTCAAAAATTGTTGGGAAACCATGTGTGGCAATCACCTATTCACCCCATTGGTGGAAGAGGGACTCCCCACTTTAAATAGCACAAAAGGCGGCCAAACACAGAACACTTAACACTGGGCAGATGGGCTGCACATCAGTTTATTAGTCATACATGCTCACAGCCAGGGCAGGAAGGCATCACACACTGTGATGGGCCACATGAGAGCTGCACTCAGGGGCAGAGGAAGCCAGAGGGGCTGTGGGAAGCAGAGCCATGTATACCAGGAGGGTGAGGTGACCCCTGGTTCCCATGGGAAGATGTAATTGGCTTGTTTAATTTTATGGCTGGTAGGGAGCTGAAGCCCATTCGATTGAGGACCAGAAGAAGTGCAGTCGGCCCAGCTGATAGGGGAATTAGCTAGGTGGGGAGCTTATCTGATGAGAACGGGGAGGCGAGGTCTTTGGGGCCTTATAAGGCTCAAAGAGGTCAAGTCAGCACTTTAAATTGATAATGCTAAGCAGATTTACTTATTACAGGACTTCCTGAAGACTCTAGTGTGCTAACGTCAGTGTACTTTCAAGAAGGGGTAATATATGTGGTGCTTCTTAAACCTGTTGATGCATGCTACAGTTGTTAAAGAGGAAGATTTTGTTGGTTGGTGTTTAAGAAATTCATTTTGAAAAATCCTGCTTTAGAACATTGATATATTCAACATGGTGGCTAAAAGTGATTGTCTACTTAATTAACTTTTATTATAAGAAGTTGTATGGGGAAAATAAAATAAAATAAACTGCATATTAACTAAGGTAAAATATTTCTGCATGCCTTTCTTTTATTTGAAAATTCCCATCCTTATTTATGCTCAACCTGAGTTTGTCTTTAGCAACGTGTCTTTTCTATTAAGTAGTATTTACTACACTACACAAATATTTTATGTACAGTTTTCTAAGATCATCTTTCAATTGGATAATATCTGTGAGTAAAATTATAGGTTTATTTAGAGGAACAAAGACCATGAACGAAGCCTCATATTAACTTTGCGGCATGTTTCTGAACACATTCTGCCCAGTTGAGGGCTGTCTCACATACATTCAAGGTAGCTGGGTCCAAGATAAAGTAGGTAGCAAATAGCTCCTCTATTCCTATGTTCTCTCAAATTTGCTGTCTCTTAACACACACAGCCATTCCATTTGTCCCCAGCCATTCCATTCGAGGCAGCTACTGCTTTATACTCTGCAGAACTCTTATTGTAATCCTGAAGAAATTGACTCCAGGAGGGATGGGAATGGTGATTTCCTTCTAATATTGAAGTATGGAGATGGTAAAGTATCTAACACTGTTTAAAATGCCTTCAATGGCTCCTTTCTATCCATCTGTTCTGCCGTCTTGCTTTTTCCTACCTCTGTGCCTCCACTTTTCCAAATTGTATTCCCTGGGCATGCTTTCTCCTCTTTGAAGAGTGTTTAAATTCTGGTGTGTATGAGGCATCAATTCATATTTTATTTTTTCCCATAAATTGTTCCTTGACAGTACACAAGATGTCCTCAGTAACACTTAATAGTGTGCTGAATCAAATTGTTTCTTTATTTATGCTGAGACCAATGTTTTTGTTTTAGAGAGTCATTTATGGAATATAATTGTAGCTCATATTATGCTGTAATACACACATATTACATAAATATAATTCTGATAAAATAGTTCATGTGTTAAATAGTGAATACACAAAGATTTGAAATTTACCATCACTGATGTGCTTTAGAATTCACAAGAATATTTTATTATTATTTTTTCTATTGTAAGATGTAGGGCCGGGCACGGTGGCTCACGCCTGTAATCCCAGCCCTTTGGGAGGCCGAGGCGGGTAGATCACCTACGGTCAGAAGTTCGAGGCCAGCCTTGGCCAACATGGTGAAACCGTGTCTCTACTAAAAATACAAAAATTAGCCGGGCGTGGTGGTGGGTGCCTGTAATCCCAGCTACCGGGAAGGCTGAGGCAGGAGAATCGCTGTACCCAGAAGGCAGAGGTTGTAGTCAGCAGAGATCGCACTACTGCGCTCCAGCTTGGGTGACAGAGCGAGACTCCATCTCTAAACAAACAAACAAACAAAAAGATGTAAAATTGGCTAGCACTGTAATAAACTTGGACAGTATTCTACTTGATATTGAGAAGTATAAACTTATTTTTCCTTTAAAAAATTATTTGTTGCCACAAAGCCACAAGTAGTACCTTATTTTATAACTTGTGAAATTAATCTGAACATAAATCACCCTAGAAAAAAATAGTGTAAATCATGGCAGAATGGGTAAAAGTCAATAGGCACATAAGCATCATAACAACCTGTGAAAGATGAGGTCAGACGGAGATAACTCCCTGTGGTAATAAGAGAGCCCTGGGAGGGGAGGAGCAGGAAAGACAAGGGGTCCCTGGGAGTCACTCTGTCTAGTCTTGGGATCTTGGGAGACACTCATGGTTTCCTGGGCTTTTCCCCAGGAATTTGGCATTGAACTTGATGTTAATCCGAGAGAGTTTCCAGTCCCTGACTGCAAGGCAGGATGAGGACATGTGGCCCCGAGGTGCAGGGCCTGTGGAGAGCCCAGAGCTGTGGGCAGACAACATAGTGGCCCCACAGAACCTCAGGGGCCTCGCCCTCTCCAGAGCTCCACATGAGGTGACGCCCTGCAGAGGGAACCTCTGACCAGCAGGCAGGGGCCCCATGTTGCCCTGGTGGATGGAAGTGGACGTGAGAGGCAGCATGAGACACCTGTGACAGGGTCCCACTGGGCCTGGCACTACCTGGCTGAACTGGAGTGAGGGCTTGGCTTCTCCATCATCTTTAAAGGGGATGATGCTATGTGTTGTAGATGTGGAAGCGATGTGAATAAACCTGGCACAGAGGACGCACGACATTAATAATTGTTTCATTTTCTAAGTATGTATGGCTTATCACATCCCAAAGCTGCATGAAGGATTGCTAGGGAGTAAATATACAAAAATTATGCAGGACTTGGAGCAATGCGCTGTCTTCCAGGGGAAGAAGGACACCCAGTTGGCATATCTGGGCTGGTCATGTAATTTAGAGTCCTAAGGGGAATGAGTCTGAAAGTGGGAAGGTGTGAGAGTATTAATTATGCCACTATAGTATATGCCAGAAAGGACTGTCCTGGCAAACTGTGGTGTGTGGCCACCTTAAGCCTCAGCAGAGGATTCCTGCCCTCCTTGGATGAGGCTGGGCCTCCTTTGAGTGGCTTCCGCGACATTCTGCTGTACCCACCATCACCCTAACCAAACTGTGTGGAGGCTTATTAAGGCTCTGTCACATTAACCCAAAATAAGCACCTGCTCAGGTGTCAGATGAGGTGCAATGTTGGGATCAGGAACATGTTCATTTAGATACCTATTCATCCTAGCTCTGGGCAGGTGGTTGAAGTTTAATATTTATTTGCCAAATGGTTGTAATGTTAAAGGTGAGTGGTATCTCTAACTTTTGTAATTTGGACCTCAACTACATTACATATGTGCATATGTAATGTATATATATCATGTGTGGATATATACATTACATTATATATAATGTATATATGTAATTCATATATAATGTGTGTAAATACATTACATTATATATAGTGTATATATACATAACTACATTATATATTATGTATATAACCTAAGCATGTGCTTTTATATAAAATGGAATCTATAATACAAGTATGTATAAAATAAATTCCAAAATGAGTAGTACATTGTTTATGCTATTGAACAAAAGCAATGTTAGGCTTCAACAGTCAAGGTAGGATTATGAAGAAAATGTAAACTTTATGCTAAAAAAAAGAAAAATGATTACTCTTCAGCCTTAAAAAAGAAGAAAATCCTGTTACCTGTGACACCATGGATGAATTCAGAAGATATACTAATTAGGTAAAATAACCCGGGCATAGAAAGACAAATATGCATGATCTCACATATATATGGAATCTAAAACAAAAAGCAAACTTCTAGAAGCAGAGAATAGAATGGTGGATACGAGGGGCTGGAAGGACAGGGAGATGTTGGTTAAAGGACACAGAATTTCAATTAGACAGGAGGAATACCTTCTGGAGATCTATTATACAACATGGTGCCCATAGTTAATAATAATGTGTTGTATACTTCAAATTGGCCAAAAAAGTAGATTTTCAATGTTCTCACTACAAAAGGATAAGATGTAAGGTAATAGACGTGTTAACTAGCTTGATTTAATAATTTACAACATATACATATATTCAAACTTGTCATGGTGTACCATAAATATGTAAAATTTTTTGTCAATTAAAAGTAAATAAATAAGATAAAAATATGGAGAAACATTGAGTTTGAAAATATATGTGATAGAATGAAGTACCTTATCCTGTGTATTTTGTTTTGCATTGTTTTATTAAAAAGTCAATATTTTTTCTAACTTAAAATATATTAAATGTTATGATAGAGTTAATAAAAGTAATTATAGAGATTTCATTTTCATCTCCGTTGTTTTAAAAATAAAAGAGCCTTAAAAGTTATACTTGTTTTCTGGTTTACTGCTTCACCTTTGTTGATATGATCATGGAGGATATTTAGATACACTAGGACATTTTTTCTTTAGGGTAGAATTGTTTGTTTTAACTGTGCATTAAAGATTTTTGCATTAGGATTAGATTACATCGGACGTATTAGAGTTAGTTTCCACTCAGTAGGAGACTTATTAATGTAGTTTTTGCTTTGAAAGACACTAAAGTTATGAAAAGAAAGGTCCTGAGGTTATACTAGTCATTTCTGATGGTAAAATCCGTTTTAAATATATTCGCATCAAGTTGGCAGTCTCTTGAATATTGAACTTCTGTTAAGTTTCACTGGTTACACATGACTTAATATTTTATTGGGTAGCAAATAGACGGAACACCATTTTTCCTGCCTTTAAAAAGTATATAAGGGCCAGGCGTGGTGGTTCACGCCTGTAATACCCGTACTTTGGGAGGCCAAGTCGGGCGGATCACGAGGTCAGGAGATCGAGACTATCCTGGCTAACATGGTGAAACCCCGTCTCTACTAAAAATACAAAAAAAAAAAAAAATTAGCCGGGCGTGGTGGCGGGCGCCTGTAGTCCCAGCTACTCGGGAGTCTGAGGCAGGAGAATGGCGTGAACTCTGGAGGCGGAGCTTGCCGTGAGCCGAGATCCCGCCACTGCACTCCAGCCTGAGCGACAGAGCGAGACTCCTTCTCAAAAAAAAGTATATAAGATACACATGATAGTAAAATGATTCTCCTGTATCCTTGATGATTGAATACACGGTCATTGCCTGTTTTATTACTCTAAAATTTCCCTTTTTTTTTCTAGATGTTACTGTCTGATTTTCTTCTGCCTTCTTTCTCATGTAGTCTTAAGGCATAGATAGTTTCTGTATTTAAAAGCTATGACCGAACATTTTTATTAATATTCTAAAAATAAAACCTTACATTTATGAAGTATGTGAAAAATTAATATCAGAATCTCAACACTTTAATTTTTACTGTGACTTGTCCCCAGTTACTGTCAGTTTTCTTTTAGAAATTGAAACAAAACAAAACCACAAATAATATAAAAATCCTTTTTATTTTAAAACTCACTCAATTTTTACCTTGGATTTCAACAGTAAATTTCAGTTATTGGACAACTTATTTAATTTTATATGCCTATTATACTTGATTTGAAAAGCAAAAGAACATAAATTCAAGTTATCAAGTGATAAATAAGATTGAAATTCTAAACGGGAGGATTTTTGTATTGTTTCAAATTGGGTTATACATAGTCTGCCATTTTTAACCTTTTCCTGTCTTTTTGAAGCTAGTAATTTAATTTTTTGTTTTTGTCCCAATACAGTATTTTATTTTACTGTGATAAACTTCAACTGAATTTTACCCACTGTGTTCTATTTATATTGACTTTGAGAAAACTCTTATTTATTTATGCATTGCAAAAAAAGTCATATGTAAGCAAAGTGCCTTCAGTGGATCAGGTATTATGCTAGGAGCACTGGATACAGAGATGTAAAAAGATGGTTCCTAGCCCTGTAGGAAAAAAATCATAGGTCAGCAACGGGGAGATAAGAGAGAGACACTAAATCACCAACCACAGCACAAGTGATACATTTCACAAAAGAAGAACACACAAAGAGCTGTGGAAAACCTGAAGTGTGATCACCTGAATTATATGATTTTATGCATTATGAAGGTGTGTCTATAGCTCTTCTTCCTTTCTTTATAATTTTGAGAAAACCTCTTTTTTCTGATTTTTAGATTTAAAAATTATTGGGATTATCATTAGGCTTTATGATATAATTATATATCAAGCTGTATTAGGGTCCTCCAGAGAAGCAGAACCAACAGGATGTATGTATGTATATGTGTGTGTGTACACATATATATACACACACATATACATATGTATATATACATAAATATATATATACACACATATAAATGTACACATATGTACATACTTGTATATACATATATATGTGTGTATGTGTGTGTATATGTGTATATATATGTCTCTGTGTGTGTATTTTTAGAGAATTATGGTCTATACACACACACACACACATACACACACATTAAATTGGAGGTATGTATATATCTCAATTCAATGAAGAATTGGCTCACATGAATCTGGAGACAGAATCTCCAAGCTTTGTAGTCTGAAGGCCTGAGAACTAGGAGATCCAATGGTGTAAGTTTCAGTCTAAGTCTGAAGGCAAGAGAAGACCAGTGTCCCAGCTTGAAGACAGTCAGGGAGAGAAAATGAACTCTCTCTTGCTCAGCCCTTTGTTCTATTCAGGCCTTTAAAGCAGCAGTCCCCAAACTGTTTGGCACCAGGAACTGGTTTCATGGAAGACAAAGTTTCCATGGACTGGGGGCTGAGGGGGCAGGGATGGTTTCGGAATGAAACTGTTCCACCTCAGATCATCAGGCATTAGTTAGATTCTCATAAGGATAATGCAACTTAGATCCCTCACATGCACAGTTCACAATAGGGTTCACGCACCCAACAGAATCTAATGCAGCTGCCCATCTGACAGGAGGAGGAGCTCAGGTGGTAATGCTCACTCGCTGGCTGCTCATCTCCTGCTGTGTGGCCTTGTTCCTAAGAGGCCATGGACAGGTACTGGTCCGTGGCCTGGGTGTTGGGAACTCTCGCTTTAAGGGATTAGATGAAGTGCACATACAGGGGAGGCCAGTGTGCTTTGCTCATTGACATGTTCATCTCACCCAGAAGCACCCTCACAGACACACCCAGAATAATCCCTAACCAAACATTTGGGCATCCCACAGACCAGTCAAGTTGACACATAAAAGTAATTATCACACTAGTCTATATGTGTAATGAAATCTTCTCAAAGAGGGAAACTACAGTAAATTATGTTTGAACATAAACAGGTGAATACCGGTGTTTTGGTCATCTTCTCTATACTAGTTTTCGCAAACTATGCATTATTCAAGATTGTCCTTACTTATTCATGTCTTTTTCCTGTATTTTAATTCTCTTTCTGCTTGGCCCCATAGTTACTTTTTCTTCTGTTTTTTAGCAAATATAATGTATAACAGCTCTGATCATAATTCTCTAAAAAGCATAAAATTTATGCTCTGCTAAAATTTTATTTATATCACCTAGTTTTGTTTTTATATACTAATGTAGATAGTCATCACAATCATACAATATCCAGGACTGAAAAATCACACACCAGAAAAGCAATTAAAGTGATAGCTTTCAGTTTATATTAATAATTGATAAGAGGACCATTAAAAATGCATGTGTGTGTGCACGTATATGCTCTCACACATAGACACATGTGCACACCACCATGACCTATTTCTAAAAGAGATATAGTCCAGATATATAAACTCACTTTTAATCTTCTAACACCCACCTCACTTTATTGCCCTGCAATTACTTTCTTTGATGCCCCAAAGTTCTACTGTAGCCTTGATTTAGAGAAAACAGAGAGAAGGAGGAGATCTCAGCATGCAGGATCCCACAGCTACTCCTGGTGCTAGAAAAGCTCCACTTTGCTCCCACCTTCCCAACTTGTTTCACAAAAAAACAGATCCCATTATGACGTAAATTCATTGATTATTGAGATCAAACATACCAACATTCCAAAGAGGAAGCATTATTGGTTTCCTTGTTTTAAAAGTCAATGTTACATGATTGCCAGTAGATAGTATATCCTATTAGGAGGTCACATCTGTAGAATTAGTCTGTTTTGCAAACTGTCTTGAACTTATTTTAAAAAAATATGTGTCAGGGTAGCATTTAGGTTTACAGAGCAGTGCAGAGTTCCAGTATATTTTCTCTTCCCTACCCCCCTTCTCTTCCTGTTTCCCCCATTATAAACCACTTGCATTAGTGTGGTATATGTGTCATAATTGATGAACCAGTATTGATACACTGTTATCAGCTAAAGTCTAAAGTTTACATTAGGCTACATTCTATGTTACATAATTATATGGGTTTTGGAAAATGTACATGGTCATGCATCCACCATTCCAGTATCATACAGATTAGCTGCATCACCCCCAAAATCCCCTACGTCCTGTTTTTTCATCCTCTGTGTCCTTTCTCTAAATTGCTGACGATCACTGATCTTTTTACTATCTCTATAGTTTTGCCTTTTCCAGAGTGCCATATGGTTGCAGTTAGATATTTGATTTCCTCCATCAGAGTTTTTATAGTTTCCTTACATAGGTTTTTATACATATTTTGTTCAATATATTCCTAAGTATTTCATTTGTTTGTTAATGCTAATGTAAATGGTGCTGTGTTTAATTTCACATTCTAATTGTTCATTCCTAAGAAAGGGGAAAGTAGCTGACTTTTGTATATTAACCTTATATCCTACAACACTCATATAATCACTTATTAGTTCCGGGAGTATTTTTTCTGATGTTTTGGGATTTTCTACACATTATCTGCAAGCAATGTATATTAATGGCAATCTTTTGTTACATTTGCTGATAACTGAGAAGCCGTTCCCATTCACCTAACTGCTATAGCCACCTACAATGCTAGTTACCAGTAATTTCGTTTTAGTGATCTATTAACTTTTTCAGCCATCACCATATTTGGTTGTGAATTAAGGAAAAAAGATTTCAGAAAAGGAGGGATAATTTGAATGTGTTGCACAGGCAGGAGTAATATTGTGTGTGTGTGTTGACAATAGGGTTCACGCTCCTATGAGAATCTAATGCCACTGCTCATTTGACAGGAGGTGGGGTTCAGGTGGTAATGCTCACTCACTGGCTGCCCACCTCCTGCTGTGTGTGTGTGTGTGTGTGTGTGTGTGTGTGTGTGTGTGTGTGTGTATGTGTGTGTGTGTGTGTGTGTGATCAATTCTGGTTTCCTCGAAGATATGTTTGGCATAAATATAGGAACAGAGGAGGAGGAGATTATGCCAAGAAAGGTATATAAAAGAAAAGTACAAGAAAGTAAAGATGAAAGATAGTAAATATGTATATATATACACACATATATTATATATTGCAATATAATATATTGCATATATATGCAATAATATATGTATATTATTGCATTTGTGTATATATGCAATATATTATATTGCATATATATGCAATAACATATATGTATATTATTGCATTTGTGAATAATAAACTCTTGTGTATGACTTTATAACATTCTGAGTTTTCACACTTTCTTCACGAAATTTGTTTTATATTGAATTCCTCAAACATTTTATTGCCTTACTGACCAAAAAGCAAATACTGCTACCACATCATGTTTAAGATTATAGAAATAATACATTTGTGTTCAAGTAAGTTAAATAATTATTCACCAAACCTTTATATCAACAGAAATTGTTACCTTTTATATAGCCCAAGTTCCTTAGACTATGAAACACTTTTTTCTTAGTAAAATTGAATACTGAAATCTTACTAAACATGTTAAAATTACATACTTTTCCTTCTTATTTTCATATGCTATAATGTCCTATTAATAAAGCTGTTTCTGATGCCACTTAGGAAGGAAGTAAAAAAGATTTATGTGGCTGTGCAAAATAGTGTTGTGTGCATTTGCTAGCTTTGCTCGTCTGCTGAAATACTTACACACAACAGGTACTTCTCAATTTTCTGCCTCCCAGTTTTTTCTTGTAATAAGAGTTAGTTAGCTTTTAAGTTATAACTTGTACTGGTAGCTGAGACCCTGTTATGAGGAATATTAACAGAGAAATCTAACTGTGCAAGTAAGGGCTATTTTTTTGTTTGATATATTCTTCTTTAGTAAGTTAACAAGAATGTAGAAGAGGTGTGTCATTAGGCTATTCCAGAAAGTTAGATAAGATAATGAAAAACAAAATCTGCATTCATATGGAAACTTGTAGAAGGTTAGTAAATAATCTGTTTTGATTTATAACAGTGAATCTGAAAGATGTAATAAAATATATTAAAATTTTGCCAAAGTTGACCAATTTTTGATAGATTTATTCATAAGGAGATGAAAAAATCTTGTGAAACTTTTCCAAATATCGTTATGTAAAAACTTGGGTTTCTCCATCATTCTGAGCAAACTATCGCAAGGACAGAAAACCAAACACCACATGTTCTTACTCATAGGTGGAAATTGAACAATGAGAACACTTGGACGCAGGAAGGGGAACATCACACGGGAGCCTGTTGTGGGGTGGGGGGAGGGGGGAGGGATAACATTAGGAGATATACCTAATGTAAATGACGAGTTAAAGGGTGCAGCACACCAACATGGCACATGTATACATATGTAACAAATCTGCACGTTGTGCACACGTACCCTACAACTTAAAGTATAATTAAAAAAACAAATTTTTTAAAAAGGGTAAAAAAAAAAAGAATCTTATTAGTCTTTTTCAAGAACTCAGTTTTAAGTTAATCAATCTTTTCTGCTGTATTCATTTCCCTCCCTACTTTTCCATATGCTCTCTCTTTTTTTTTTTTTTTTAACTATGTTGTGGTCTAATCGACAAATAAAAATTACATATATTCAAGGTAAAAAAAAACTTGGGTTTCTCTCTATTTAGATGGTCAATTCTTAGAAACCTTAATAAGATGTATGAAGAGGTTTTTTTTGTTGTTTTTGTTTTTTTTACCTTTTCTATAACCGACTTGATAGGAGAGATTCTACACTTCACTAGAATAATAGTTGCTTTCTTTACAGGCCTAGTGGGCATTGATCAATTTTGTGTCTAAGCCAGAAATTTTATCCTCCCATAAGTGCCTTCGCTTCTATAATGCCTTTGGAAGTGGTCATAACAACTTACTGGCTCCCTCTTTAATTAATGAGTTTGAGTAAACGTCTTTGACGTGTGCTTATTTTGTATTTGCCTGAGAGTCATGATTTTGCATTTTTGAAAGGTATACTTTAACATTTTATTACTAATAAAGAATTAATATATTGATTGAGAAGGAATTAAGTTCCTGATTTTCGACATGAGTAATGGGTCACAGCTTTAGCCTAGGTTTGGGCTATGTCCTGCCCTAGGCGGAGGGCTGGTGAGACAGACAGCCCAGCAGCTGGAGTAGGAGCCGCTGCAGCCGAGGCTTGGGTTGAGGGAGTGTGAGCAGGTGGGGGAAGGTGCGCTGGGGTGGCAGCTTTGGCTGAAACATCCCCACGGCAGGTGGAGTCAATGTTGAAAAAGTCACTCATCAAGTGATAGCTAAGCAGACTTATGTGTGAGGACCTATCATACAGTCCTGAGACTCCCAGACTTGCTCAAGCAAATTTTATGGGGGCTGGAATCTTCCAAATTGCTGGTGAGTCTGGGCTAGAGAAACGCTACTTCACAACATTGTTGTTAACCTTGTTTACTCCTAGATTGATGTAGACTGAAAAAGGACCCAAGTTAACAGCAAGATTTTTGTAATCAATTCCTTGACAGGAATGAAAACAAAACGTACCCTAGGTCCTGTAAAGGGCAGTGTCTGGAGTGCTAGGACCTAGAGTTAGCTCCATCTCTCAGTAGCTGCTAGGCTTTAGGCAAGGCTTCCTGTGACCCAGTTTCTCTTCTGTGCAAAATGGAGCTGACCTCCATGATGGTCACAGGATCGTTACAAGGATCACACAAGTACACGTGTGTCCCATGGCCAGTGACAACAACCCATATTTCTATCTCAACCCCTAGGAGCTCGGAACTATGCTGAGTGTTTTTTCTACAAAACTCATTTAACACACTCAATATGAGGGTTATGAGCCCTAGGAGGATGAGGTATTATTGTCGCCATGTTATAGATGAGGGTACTTGCCCGAAGTCATGCAGTTTTGTCCTGGGGGAGCTAGGTCTGGAATCCAGGCAATGTGTCCACAGTCCCGGTGCAGCTCCCTGTTTCAGCATGCTGAATCTAGTAGGGAAAGCTCTTCAACACCTTGTCAAAGCCTGTGTGAATGTAGAAAGCATTATTTTTGCTGTTACCCCTGTCCTCCAGGAATTCCCGATCTTATGGAGTTGGAAGATGGAGAATATTGCCAACCAAACAGATGCCATTACAAAGAAAGTCAAATGTGGTTCACCTTACCCAAATCTTCTTGTCAAAAACGTTTTGTTAACTTATTTTCTGCCATTGATATGATGACACCAGGCCTTACAATTTTTTTCCAATATAAAATTGTGTGAAACTGAATATGATTTTTCAAAGACAGAGGCCCCATGGAGATTCTGATGAGTCTCCCTAGGAGAGGATCAACCCACTGCTGCACTCTTGTAGAGAAGCAGCCTTTTAAAGAAGTGCTCACATGCAATTTAGGCTTAAGCTAAGAAGAGTAAGCAACAACGTGAAGTATTTCAGAATAAATAATAGCCCTGCATTGATGAGCACACATGTGCAGTTCTACCTACATCACCATGCACTCAAAGTGTGTACCTTTTCTGAAAATTAAAACATGGCATGTGTGCACTTTTGCAAATGGCCCCCCAGACGGGAATGTTGGCACTCCAGGATGGGCTTCACGCTTCACCGTAAAACCATTGTTTTGAGGCTCCAGCAGTGGTATTTGGCCAGCCTTTTATCCGGCACACACCCCAGCCCAGTGCAGTTGGAAGAGGTCCAGAAATGCGGAATGCTTTAGTCTGACTGCCATGTGCACGGCCAGCAGCTGGCTGTAGACATGGTGGAGATGGACAGAGAGACGACCATGATCTTGCTACCATAGGCTTTGCTTTAAGGACCCTATTGTTTGGGAGAAATTTTATTTTTATGTTCTCTTTTGTTTAGCCAATTACCTGCATTCTTACTTTTTTAATGCATACATTATAAATAACCTTTTCTCCTTTAGTTCTAAAGATACTCAAACTGTCATCTGCATCCTCCTGAAGGTGGGGACTCCTTGGACTTCAGCTGTAGTCTGAATGTTCCCCCCTTTCCTGGCTCCCACACACAATATTCAGGACCAGTGGGCACCTTAGATAGGGAGCCCTGAAGCAGCTTGATGCAGAATCAGGTCCCTTAGGATAGGCGTTCTTCCATGGTCTTGGGACGCAGTTCTTACAATTAGGCTTTTGCCTTAGTAGTGGCTGACTCCATCTTTCGTCCATCTATCAACTCGGGTCCTTTAGGAGTGGAGCTTCTTTTGTTCATGAGTCTTCCCAACCTCCCCACTGCATCCCCACAGGACTCTAGGGTCCTACTACCTTCTATCCAGCTTCTCTGACATCACTGCCTGACTGTTCAGACTCTCAAGCTTTGCCTACCCCTAGGTTCCCTGTCCCTCACTGTGGGAAGGATTGTCCTGGTGTGTTACACCCCGTACACACCTTTACACTGGGATGGGTCTTATGGCTTCCATCTCCTGTGGTTCGAGCTTGACTTACATTCAGCTTTGGCAGTGGGAACAGTCCCAGGGTGGGGCTCCAATAATTCCATTTCCCTTAACTGCACCAAGCCTACTGTTATATATCCCCTCATATGATTCAACTTAACATATTCAATTGATTTTTACAGTTCTTACAACACATTCATAATTTTATCACAAAATTAATCATAAATTACTATTGAAAGAAGATCTGATCCCTGCTGCATATCATCGGGAAAAAACAAGCTACCATAATTGCACATGAAATATTTTCACTCTTTCATTCCATTATCTGTACTGCAGTGAGGATTTTGGACCATTTTTCGTGCTCTCTGCAGAGTTCTTGTTCCCCTAGCAGCAGTACTCCATAATGGAGCAGACACTGGGGCAGGCGCAGCTCATGTTTTAGATTATGTTCTTCTCTTCCTTGTAATAGATTTACTCTTTCTATGTTTCATGGAAATAGGGAATATCTTATTCTAAATATTTGACTTCCTAGCATTGCTACAATACAACTGAAAACTTGCCATCTGCACCCTATACTACCATCTGTGGAGGAAGACACGCTGGACCAGAGAATCTTAATGGCAAGTATATCAAATAACAGCTAATATATTTTCATTTTCAAAAAATATTAGAAATACATAAAGAATAAAGTAAAAATCAATTATAATTCCACATTCACAGATGATTACTGCTGCATAGTTTGATATATGTTGATTCAAGTTTTTTCTATGAATTTACACGTTATATGTTTACAGAAATGGCGTGATTCTATGCATAACATTTTTGTGAACCATCTTTTCCTTTACAATATAGCCTAGACATTTTTATATAGAGATCCACATCACTCCATTGTATAAATACACAGCACTTAAAACAATCAACTCATTTTTGTAGATTTCTACCTTGTATGGAGTCTTCACTTTTATAAGCAGTGATGGCGCTGCTGTATTGACACTGCTCCCTTGTCAATGGTTAGTAACTACATTTCTGTGGGCCTATTTCTTGACTCTGTGTTCCATTCCACTGGTACATGTAGGCATTCTTTTGCAAGTACCATGGTGTTGTCTTGATTACCATCATTTCATAAGCCTTGATGTCAAGTAGTGTTAGTGCACTGAGTTTATTCTTTTTCGGTGTCCTGTTGGCTATTCTTTTTCTTTTACATTTTCATATAAACTTTAAATTCATTTTATCAATATCCACAAAATAGCTTGCTGGAATTTTAATTCCTATTGCCTTGAATCCACAGATCCTGTGGGACAGAATTAACCTCTTAACTATATTGAGAATTCAAATTCATGAGCATGGAATATATCTCCATTTAATTAAATCCTCTTTAATTTCTTTTATCAGACTTTTATATTTTATGTATATAGATCCTGTACATATTTTAGTAGGTTTGTACTTAAGAATTTTATTTTTTGAGCAGTTGTAACTGGTTTATTGCTTTAATTTCAAACTGCAATTGTTCATTGCTGGTATATAGGAAAACAATTGACTTTCGTATATTAACCTTGTATTCTGCAACTATGCTAAGATTGCTTATTAGTTCCAGAAGATTTCTTTGGTCAATTGTTTGTGATTTTCTACTTAGTTAATCATGCCATCTTTGAACAAAGGCAATTTATTTTTTCCTCCCCAATCTGCTTACTTTTTATTACCTTTTCTTGTCACTATTGCACTAGTGAGGGCTTCCAGTATGATGTTAAGTAGGTGTGGTGAAAGGGTCATCCTAGCTTAGCTCCTGATCTTTTCAGGAAAGCATTTGGTTGCTTGACATTAAGTATGATTTTAGCTGTAGATTTTTTGGCAGACATTCTTTTTCAAGTTGAGGAAGCTACCCTCTACTCCTAGTTTTCTGAGAGTTTTTATCGTTAAAGGGGGTTGGATTTTGTCAAATATTTTTTTCTGCATCAGTTATCTTCTTGCTATAATAGATTATATTAATTGATTTTTAAATGTTGAACCAGACTTACGTACTTGGAATAAATCTCACTTGGTTGTGGTACGTACATTTTATTTTGTTTTATTTTTTCAGACAGAGTCTCGCTCTGTTGCCTAGGCTGGAGTGCAGTGGCGCAATTGCTGCCCACTGCAACCTCTGCCTCCCAGCTTCAAGCAGTTCTCCTGCCTTGGCCTCCCAAGTAGCTGGGTTTACAGGCACGAACCACATACCACACCTGGCTGGTATGTACCTTTTAAAGATACATTGTTGAATTTGATTTGTTAAAATTTTATTGAGTTTTATTTACATCAATGTTCATGAGAGAGTTATGGTAAAGATAACTAAAGTTATTAAATTTTGGTGAAAAGGGGAAAATAAAATAAAAGTACACTCATGCATTGCTTAACAACAGGGCTGTGTTCTGAAAACTGTGACATCAGGCAATTTCATCATTGTGCCAACATCATAGGGTGTGTTTTTACAAACCCAGATGGCAGAACTTACTACACACAGGTTACACAGTGTAGCCTACTGTCCAAGGCAACAAACCTGTACAACATATGACTATACTGAATACTGTAAGCAAAATATGTAAGTAAAAATATGCTCTTACATTCTTGTGGGATCCCTTTCGTATATGTTGTCTGTCATTGACCGAAATGTCCTTATGTAATGCATGACTGTGTTTAAAGAGAAGGACATTTAAATAGTCTTGGGAAATAGGTAAGTAAGAGATTAACAGATGCACCAAATGCTATTTTATTATATTTTCAACATTTTTTTCTTTTCTTTTTCTCTTTGAGGTTCCACACATCCATCTATGTAGGTAACTAGCTAAAATTGATATGCTATATTCCAGTTCTAGTCTCTACACAATTGTCACAAATCCTAATGCTCTTAATCACCCATCTCCTGGCATGTGGCCTAGTCACAGGACTCAGCCCATTCCCCTAAAGCCTGGTCTTGTTTAAAGGAGTCTTGTATCTGATTGTGTCTCACATGAGCTAGCAGAGTGTTCTTCAGCTCATTATCACTGACATGCTTCCTTATGTCCTTGCCTGTTGCCTGCAAAGCTGTTTAAAGGAGCCTGCTGCTTCTTTGGAGGATACCAAAGTCCCCAACATTTGAGTTTTGCCTACTCATGCTCCCAAGCCCCTATTGTGAATTGCAAGATCATATTGGGGTCTATGCAGAAATGTAAAAATGACACTATCTCAAACTCTGGCCCAGTTCTTCACCTAGATGCCAAAGGAGTTCTACTTGTGTTCAATGTCAGAAAGCATCTTCTGGAAAGAACTGATCCTCCTAAAGATTTAAACTCAGTCCATGAGACTAGACAAGGAGGGATGACACACCATCTCTCGGCTCTCCAAGGCCTCTGATTCTTACCTATGAACACCTCATTGGAGTGAGATATTCCCCTCTCCAACAGGTTTTGGTCACTGTGCAGTCTCAGTCCTTACCTAGAAAAGATTTTACCTAAAATGCTAAAGCTTAATCCAAAGGTTTATTCTCAGGTTCTTAAAGATTTGCATGAGGATGTTCTAATTTTTGTTTAAGCTTTGATTATGATCTAAATTCAATGGTATATACTTAATCTGGACAAACACCTTAAAAATAAATACAGATGTTTAACTTCAGAGCCTGGGTTAGCATTTCTGTGAAGATTATGTTTGATCAGAGAAAGCTAAGTTGTACCAAGGAAGACTTCACAATATTTCAAAAAAAAATGTAACAAAAATTGAGTCATTACCCAGAACGCTAGCTTCTTAGTTTATTTAATGGAAAAGAGTCTGAGCTACAGAGGTCAGCAACCTAATGATTTGGCTATGGAGACAGTGTATTGATTGATTGTGTCTTCTTAAATACCAACTTGGAGTTTATTCCCAGTAAGTGTAGCTGTAATTATGTAATGAAGAATGTTTTTCTGTTTACAATTCTAGAGATAATTAAATGCAGATTTCAAAAATTCCACAATGCTGTCTTTTAAAAATAGTTTTCCTCAACAATAAGAACTAATCTATGTACAAATATTTCATTTGATTCTGGGAACAATTTATGAAGCAGTTTGTTCTCTTAGTTTATGGACAAAGAAATAGGGAGAACTGCTTTTCAAGATCACGTGGGTGGCAAGGGAACAGTGGTCCTGAATCTTTCTTGTTTAGCAGAATCATATTCCTCATGATGCCTCCACGGTTTCCAAGGATGTTCCTGGTTTTCTTTCATTTAACATTTGCATAAACTTTTACAAGAATTTCTCATGATACATTTAAAAATATATAACTGCGTATGTGATTAGCCATGATTTCGTGGATCACTAACTTGCACAGTGTCTTTCAGTCTCTGCCAACATCAGATTCAGCTGAGAGAAGAGGTCACCCAGCCATGTCCCCAGAGGCCCCGTCCTTCCAAGACGTCTGTCCTCTGTTCCTTTGAGAAGCTGAAAACAGCACAAGAATGCCAAAGGGATATGGATTCCTCTTTAGTACTTCATAATACGCAGGCTACCTGCTATTCCTTGTCTCTTATTTCTTCCAGGGAAAAACTCTGCTGCTTTGCTTAATGAAGTCAAACTATAATTTGAGAGTGGGGGGAAAATACAGTCAATACAGTCTAAAGAAATGTATAAGAATGAAAAAGACTTTGGTGAGATTTTCCCCATTGATGTGTATTTATTTGTATTGTATTATGAATTTGATGAGAGGTTTGAAAAGGCAACTCCTTATTTCATGGATTTAGAAAAACATTTTTTGTTAATTCATATCTTAATGTGGAATGTTTTTCCTTTGAACTGAATAACCCAGTTTGTTGATCACAGGATGATCTAGTCTAAGGGCCTGTGATATGGTTGGCAAGATGTTGGGTAATTGATCTTTCTCCCCGTTCCCCAGCACAGACCTCAGGGATGTGTTTGGACCTGGAGAGGCTGAGAGTGCTGGATGGTAGCAAGAATATAGTGCACTGTGTAAGTCTAAGATGAGTGAGGCACATCTGGCCCAGGTGAATGCATCTTCGGCATGTAACCACGTGGGGCTAATCCAAAACAGATGATTTGAAGAGGATTATATTGAGTTTGTCAGTCACAGACACAAGAAGCAAGAGTGATATGGTGAACCTGACCCCAGAAGACCTCAGTTCTAATTTAGATTCTGCCAATTGTGAGCCATGGGCAAAGAAATAGGGAGATCTGCTTTCCAAGGTCACATGGGTGGCAAAAGACCAGTGTACATAATTCAACCCCTCACTTTCTTACCCAGACCTACACCTCTTCCTGACTCACCCCCAAAACCCTGTTTTCTTCCAGGCATCCACACTTGAAACCTTGGATCACTCTGTACTCTCCTGTGTACGTCAGTGCCATCATCCAATCAGTTTCCAATACAGTTACATCATCTCCCCACCCCTCCTGCCTTTCACTACCTCACAAATTGGAAATAACCAATGAGATAGTACATTTGAAAGTATCCAATTACTTCAAAATAATTAGAAAAACAAAACATCAAAGTCAGAAAACAGAATAAGGCTCTACAAAGTTGCATTCAACAAATCAGAATCATTTCATCCTTTCAGATATTTGTATATGTACCAGATAGTGCTTATAATCAATATTGTTTTTGAATTATTAATAGTTTCTTTACCCATGTAACATGTGAATACAATTCACTTTGATGCAAGGTTTCAGCATTAAAGACAAGACTCATATTCCTTTTCAGAACCTCAAGTTGCAGCCCTCTGCCCACTCATCAGAAGTGACCGTGAAATCCTGCTGCACCTTCTACATCCTTTTACAAGCAGAGGTGCCCCCTCGGGAAAGATTCAGTATCAATTTGTGTTTATAAACTTATTATCCTCAAGTTATAAATCACATTCTCGCCTGTAATCCCAGCACTTTGGGAGGCCGAGGCGGGCGGATCACGAGGTCAGGAGATCGAGACCATCCCGGCTAAAACGGTGAAACCCCGTCTCTACTAAAAATACAAAAAATTAACCAGGCGTGGTGGCAGGCGCCTGTAGTCCCAGCTACTTGGGAGGCTGAGGCAGGAGAATGGCGTGAACCCGGGAGGCAGAGCTTGCAGTGAGCCGAGATCCCGCCACTGCACTCCAGCCTGGGCGACAGAGCGAGACTCCGTCTCAAAAAAAAAAAAAAAAAAAAAAAAATCACATTCTCTTAATTTTTTATTCGATAAATAATCCCCCCCCCAACAGACGTCATAAAGGTGCACTTTCTTATATTTATCTGCTCCTGGTCTTCCATAATATGCATACATCACAGCTTATCACCTACCTCACTGCTGTTTTTATTTTGCTATTTTGTTTTCAATTTCTCACTCTTATGAGCAATGTTGTGACATACCCTTTACATGTATGTTTTGTGCATGTGTGAGCATTCCTATGAAATAGATACTGGCAAGAGAAATTTCTGGATTGGAGGGTGTGGCTGTTTTAATGTAAACAGAGACTGCAAACTCCCTGGAGGTCTGTGCCCAATTACACTCCCACGAACAATATATCAATGCTACAAGTGTCTCCACATCCTTACTTGTATCAAAGTATCAAAGTTTTAAGTTTTTCAATCTGATAGGTGAAAAAAAAATAGAACCTTCTTAGTTTAGTGGACATTTTTTTATTGACTGGTGAGTTCAACATATGCTATTTTGTTTATTGATTATTTATATTGCTTCTTAAGTGGTCTTCCTCTTCATAAACATAGCCCATATTACTACCAGGTTATTGATCTTTATTTTAAGATTAAATTGTAGATTTCCCTTATGTATTCTGATCCCATCTTTTGTGCATTATCTATCATATTCTCACTACTACTCTCTTTTTGTGCACTATTTTCTCTCTGTGTTGGACAGAAATAAGGTTTCTTGGCAAAATCAAGAAGCTGATACACTCATTGGGACATATTTTTCTTTTTAAAATCTCTCTTCTGTAAAAGAAAGAATGCAAAAAGCAGCATACATTTACTAGTGTACAAATAACGAAAACCTCCCGAATAGCACTCTGTGATTCAGAACTCTTCACCTCAAATTCATGCTGTGTTGGAATCCTATACAAAAGAGTGTGCAAAGTGTGGGTCATTTACATTTCTGTTCTTCCCTTAAATACAGGAATGGAAATCCTAACAGGTACTCTGCTTAGACCAGTTTAAAGAATGTAGTTGAGCTTGAATTGTTTATGACAGCATTTGCAGCACACAAAATGCAATGTGTGGTTTTTAAAAGCGCTGAAGTTGTAGAAAAGTGATAGGCCTTCCAGTTGCTTTCATGTGCTCAATGTGTTGAGAAAAGGGATTCAGGAGAATATACTAAATGGACTTTTGACATAAAGTATGTAGACGAAATGTAGTCCAAATCAAGCCTGTAAGTGGAATTGGCAAGAAGGGCATGCAGAAGTGTCCTTTCAGAGAAAGTGGGCACTTAGCCTGTGGCCATGAACACTCTCTGAGCATCGGAATCACCCATGATGCATTTGCAAATAAAGAGTCCGTTGCCCTCTCCTGAAGACTAACTCATGAGCTCATGGTTGCAACACAGGCTCTGCCTTTATCGGAAATAAAAATCTATGCCTCTAGTCAAGGCTTCTCTCCCAAAGTTCTAACCAGCTACTATCTGACTGTTACCATATGATGACTGTTGGTGAATGAAATCAATGTGTACATAATTCAACCCTTCACTTTCCCACCCAGACCTACATCTTCTCCTGACTCACCCCAAAAAGCCCTGTTTTCTTCTAGGCATCCACATTTGAAATCTTGGATTACTCTGAACTCTCCTGTGTACCTCAGCCCCACCCTCCAGTCAGTTTCCAGACCACCAAGAATTCTATCAATAATATCTAGTGCCTCTGCTTCTCTCTTTCCACTAGTATCCTGATTTACACCCTCAAAATCTGGCCTCCGGATTACCTAACATTGGTCACACAAGATAATTCACAAAAGTTCAGCTTGAATCACTTAAATTTTCCTCTCTAAAACTTTCACTGGTTTCATGTAACCTACATGTGAACAACCATGTCTTTGGTCTGGTGCTGGAGGTTTGATGCAGTATCTTTCAGATGAACTTTCTGGTCTCATATCCCACTGCTCTTCTGTGCACATATGTCGCTTGCTCTAGTTGAGCTGGATTGTGAGCTGCCCTCAGAGTCTGTCCTCACTACCACCACAATTGGACTCATGCCATCCTCTATTCACGAACTCTCTTAAACCCCAACCCCTCATGATCACTCTGATCCTCGAAGGCCCATCTCTCAGGCACTTCCTCATGTAAACACTTTCTGTCATTCCTTAAGCCAGACAGCTTCACAAGAGCAGCAACTGTTTCCTTCCCTTTATACAGACAGACTTTCAGAATGTGGTGATAGGAGGTTTTTATATCTCTTAGCCCTGTGGTTCTTTTATTCTCTTCATGGCCACGATGAAAATAATAATCACATCTCTTTATTGTCATTAACCCTTTATTTCTACTGTAGTTCTTCAAAAGTGGAGAAATGGAAAAGCAAAGGAGGACATTTAATTTCCACTGTTGCATGAACATCGTGGATACTGTCTAAATCTATTCTATTCCTTCCCTGATCAGTAATGTAGTTTGAATAAGCAGTTTAAACTCAAGAAGCAAGCCTGTTGGTAGCCCTATTGTTTTCAACAATGATTGAGACTAAGCATATTGCCCCATTCTGGTCAATGATGGGAGTGCTTTGATGGAAGCTTTGGAGAAACATTTCCCTAGACACAAGCCAGACCCCCAGTCCCGTTCTTCCCCTGATCTGGGGCTATGTATACACAAGGAAGCATGAAGAACCAATTTGCTGTCTTATGACCATAAAGGAGGAGAGGTTTAGGATAATGCTGAGGCTGTAGCTGACAGACCAGAGGGGTAGAAAGCTCTGGGTCCTAGACATGATGACTGAACATGTAAATCAGTAATTCTGAAGACGAACTTGCTTCTGGACTCCCTAGTTGGTGAATGATAACATCCTTAAGTTGTAGCGGTTAAAACTGGTTTTCTGTCACCTGCTGAAAACATCACGTCTAAAAAAGGTGGCTGGGCATGGTGGCTCACGTCTGTAATCCCAGCACTTTGGGAGGCTGGCCCGGGGGGATCACCTGAGGTCAGGAATTCGAGACCAGCCTGGCCAACATGGTGAAACCCCATCTCTATTAAAAATACAAAAAATTAGCCGTGTGTGGTGGCAGATGCCTGTAATCCCAGCTGCTCAGGAGGCTGAGGCAGGAAAATTGCTTGAACCCAGAAGGCGGAGGTTACAGTGAGCCCAGATCATGCCACTGCACTCCAGCCTGGGCAACAAGAATGAAACTCCATCTCAAAAACAAAGAAAGTATGTCTTCTAAAACTGTTTGCTGCGGGCACTGGGCTCTATAAGACACGCGAGGTAGAAGCTGGGATTCCTTTCCAGAGAGAGATACTGAGAACCCACTCTCAAGGATCTGTTCAAGCCGATGCCCCACGCCGCTTGTATTCATTGTCTTTTTATGAGCTCTCTAAGGAGGAGTGTAGAAAACTTACAAGCTGTGTACAGATGGTGATTTCCCACTGCTGAGATGGGTACTGATAGGACCAATAATTCAAATACATACTTACATAACCAATACAATCTGAATGTTTGAAGTAATATCATCACCACCAGTTCACATTTCAACTTGAAATATAGCAAACCAAACACCAAGTTTTGTTTTGTTTTTTACCACTTCTCTTCTATTTTCTCCAACATTTTGTTATCTAAAAGTTATACACATTTTATATTGAACATATACTGGCCCCAAGTTTGTTTGTTTTCAGTGCTGCTTTTCAACACGTACTGTATCTGCAGTTTTAGCACTATGTCTCAGAGAAGTTTTTAAAAATACAGACATCCAAGCCTAGCCCAGACCCTTAAATCAGCATCTCTGAAGGTTTACATGGTTACCTATGTTTTTCAAAGCTCCATGGGTGATTCTGATGCATGGATGGATGGATGGATGGATGGATAGAGGGATAGATGGACGGATGGATGAATAGATGGTTCTCCAAATTCATTTACCTACAATAGATTCTTGTATTTTTCTTAGAGCACTTGGCAACCCCTTCAGTTCGAGTTTTGTTGTTGTTGCTATTTTCTTTATTAAATGTTGAACTTCTTGATGTAGTAATTGTGAGATACAATGATGTGGATTTTTGTAACTTACGCACTGCCTTTCACTAGTAGGTGAAGAAAGCACATGCCCAGGAATATAACACTTCTGTGTGGTATAATCCCAAAGTCTCTAGTCAGCTCAAAAATAAAAGGTATGGCTACTTCCCAATGTCCTTGTCTCCTTGCCACTGGCTCTTCCAATTTTAATGTGGCATATCCTGTCTTCTCAGCCACAAATGGGGATGTGTAATGGAAGCAAGAGCAATGAGTCCTAACCTGTGAGCCACATGGTTTGGTCTAACAGGCGGACATGTAACCTAAGCCAGGACAATGGTAAACTTCTCTGGAGTGTTTCTAACTGGAGCTGGTGGAAGTGGAGAGTAGGATTTTCCCTCCTGGGGCTGCATAAGTTAGAAGAATGTGAGTTTAGAGTTTCTTGCAATGCACTGCCTGCTGTGTGGTGCATGCTTGAGGGAAACTAACCCAGGGAGGACAATCAGAATGAGAGCAAGAGAGACTCTGAGGTGGTGAGAGCACCTGGCGAAGTTGTCCAGTGCCAGCTCCCCCTCTGTGATCCTATGGTTTTGTTAAACTCTCTCCTTTTTCCTTACACTCGTGTCAGTTAGGCTCTGCTACTTACAAACAATACTTTTTGACACAAAACCTGAAAGGAAAACTGGGGTCAGAGGAGCTTTTTCTCAGCTGATTCTTTTCTCCATACAGAACACTGAGGGCATTCTGATTTTGCACTAAGATGGGGGCATGGGTCTAATCTCTCAGCCACACAGGTAGGCTTGATGCTTAACTATGAGTCCTTTATTATACCAGTTTTTAAGAAAATCCATGTTAGCATCTGTCCTTTTCTCTCCATTGTCTACCTGTATTCAGGAGTGTAATTTTCACTATAAAATGCACCAGAAATGCATGATTCTATTCAAGAGATTATTTTGTTGTTGCTGTTGTGATGGAGTCTCACTCTGTCGCCCAGGCTGGAGTGCAGTGGTGCGATCTCGGCTCACTGTAGCCTTCGCCTCCCGGGTTCAAGCAATTCTCCTGCCTCAGCCTCTGAGTAGCTGCGATTACAAGTGCACACCACCACGCCCAGCTAATTTTTGTATTTTTAGAAGAGACAGGGCTTCACCATGTTGGTCAGACTGGTCTTGAACTCCTGACCTCATGATCCATCCACCTCGGCCTCCCAAAGTGCTGGGATTACAGGCGTGAACCACTGCGCCCAGCCAAGAAATTCTTATAATGGTGTGAACCATTACATGACTTTTCATGATTGAATTATGGCCTGTAAAATAAGATAATGCTTCTATCTTGGTATCAGGTTGGTGAATTAAATGTAGATACATTGATAAGCACACATTTGCATATTTTTCACTCCTTAAGGGCCACAATAATCTCTCTCTTCATGTGGGATGTGGTGGTGTTTATAATTTATTACTTTGCTGCAGGTGGAGGCTGTTTCAAGGGCTTCACCAGGAAACAAAAGGAAAAGAGAAGATAAAGAAAATAGCACATGACACTGAACCATTGCAAACTTAATCAAACAGTAGCCACAATCCCAGTGCAATCTGCAAATGGCAAGACAGCAGATCAATGCAGTCTGAGGCTACTGAGGTGGTGAGTGAGTTCTTTTCTGTCTCCATCTAAAAGGAGAAAAGCCCTCCTGAACAGATAGCAATTGCTGGACATGTTCCCTGTCTTGCCCCAGGGCTTTATCAAAGTTCCTGCTTTCTTTCACAATACGTCATCTGGAGGTTTCCTAGAACATCACGTTGGTTCACTCTATTGGTGCCATCATGTTTACTGCCGTGTAGCAGAGATCCACTGGTGAGACACATGCAGGCTGCAGAGTCAGAAATCAGTGCCAGAAAGTTTTAGGCAGCTGTCATATCAGTGAAGTCCAGTCATCTGGGAAATGTCAGGAATATTCCTTCCAAGGGGAACAACAAGTTATTATACCTTGCATCTTCTTCCACTAAGACAAAAGCATAGTGCTTGGAAAGCCTTTTGGATTTGGGAGGCAGCATATACCACACTTTGCAATTTTGCTCCAATTCACAGACCAAGTGACATGAAAGGCTACAAGTTTTAAGTAGAATCTGTAAGAGAAGGTTCTGCAGCAGGTTCATGCTATGACGCAAATACCCTTGTTACTTGGACCATGTGACCTGTCAGATACCACAATACCACAGAGATATCCATGGTACATGAAGATGCCTACGGAGTCCCTGATGAACCCCATTAGGAGATCCACAGTGCCGCCCCCTGGGGTTCTGCAGCAAGACCCTGCTGTCTACTGATGAGTACACCTCAGCTGAGCAGGACTTCTTGTCATGCTATTAGGCTCTGGTAGAAAAGGAGCATATGGCCGTGGGTCTTCTCTAAGTGTCTCTGTGGTCACAGCCACTCATCACGAGTTGGGCGAACATCTTCATCCTCCCCGAAAATTTCCTTGGGCTCCTTTGAAGTCCTCCCACCTGTCCCTTCCCTTTCAAAGGACAAGCACTTACCTCCTTTCTGTCACTCTAGATTAACTTGCATTTCCTAAAATTGTATATAAAATAAACCATATACAGATGGTCCCAGACTTACAAGGGTTCCACTTACAATGCTGCAAAAGTGATACACATTCTGAATGCTCCTCAACTTCACATGGAGTTACATCTGGATAAACCCATTGTAAATTGAAAATGTCCTAAGTCATTTTTGATGTAAAGGTTTGACTTAGATGGACATAACCCATCATAGGTGGAGAAGTATCTGGAGCAAGACTCTGTTTCTTCTGACTTTATTCACTTAGCATAATATTTCTAGATCCATCTGTATTATTGTGTGTATCGGTGGTTCACTTTCATTTTATAGCTGTATGGAGATACCACCATGTGTTTATCCATTCATTTGTTAATGGATGTTCAGATTGATTCCAGATTTTGACTGTTACAAATAAAGCTGCTATGAATATTCTTTATATGAATATGCTTTTATTTCTCTTGAGTCAACATCTAGAATTCAAATTGCTGGTTCATATGAAAGGTGTAGGTTTAACTATTTAAGACACTGTCAAATTGTTTTCAGAAAGTTGTTTATATCACTTTAAATTCCCACTAACAGTGTGTGAGAATTCTGGTTCTTCCGCGCCCTCATCAACACTTAGATGGTCGGTATTCTAATCGGTGTGAGGTGGTATCGACATCTTCTTTGGTGAAGTTTGTTAAAATATTTTGCCCATTTTGATGGGATTGTTTCCTTGTTATTCCCTTTTAGAGTCATTTACAATTCTGGATATGTCTTTTGCCATATG